>NC_000009.12:35464545-35616060 GCF_000001405.40 Homo sapiens
AAATTGAAATGGTGCCAGAGATCCAGGATCTCCTTCTGGGGTAAGGCACAATGTAAAACACAGATGTGAAGGGCCAAAAGCCCAAGGAGTGCTTTCTTTTGACAGGCTGCCTGAGGCCAGGGAGCACCTTTA
Source organism: Homo sapiens (assembly GCF_000001405.40). Classification (NCBI taxonomy): domain Eukaryota; kingdom Metazoa; phylum Chordata; class Mammalia; order Primates; family Hominidae; genus Homo; species Homo sapiens. Next base: position 35,464,678 of record NC_000009.12, read on the forward strand.
TGAGACCAGTGGCCTTGATTTTGGTCAGTTTTGTCAAGAGTGACAAAATTATTTATTTCACTCTTTATTGAAGCCACTTTTTGCTAAATGGGAGGCTGTCTGTGCTTCTTTGGTCTGACTAGCTCTGGTATTAAGTAATCTCTAGGGTCTGTAGCAATAACCAAACAAACTGATGATTTATTGTTTCTTTCTCCTTATGGAAAGGAAGTAAAGTGAAGCTTTAAAGACTAAGTACCAAAAAACCCTATCACAATAAAAAGAAATGTAGAACATCTGCAAGGGCTTTGAAGGCCTCATGATGGCAGGAAAAGCTCTAGCAATGAAGAAAGAAAACACTGTGCCCTACACCTTCAGGATTCAGGCTGTCAGGGTAGCCCTGCTTTCTGGGGCTTGGGCTGATAAGAAGTGGTCTTCCTTTCTGGTGGCTTAGTTTGAGCAGTAGAACTCAAACTCAGATCAATAATTCACTGAGGCTTTATCTGAACCATGAGAATAGCTTTGTTTTCACATGATTAATTGAAGAGAAAGATAAGAAGTGGGAATAAGATTGAGAAGGAAAGATTGCATGGCCCCAGAGAAACCCTCATCACAAAGAGCTGAGCTACTCAGTGTGAATCTGGACTGGGCTAGGAATAAAAGCAGATTTTATGTGTTTTATCCCAATTCTCCTTTGTTTTGTTGTTCCCCGGCCCCTCACTCAACTCTCAAATACCAGTTTTTGATACTGAATGATATTAAGCGTTTAGTGCTAATTTTTAAGTGATACTGGTTTTGATTGTGTTTTAAAATAAGATCTTAACCATTTAGAACTATATATTAAACAGATGAAATTGCATAATGTGACAGATTTATTCTGAGAAGGCAGGGGAAGAGGAGGTTTGGATGAAATTAGACTGGCTATGAATTGACAATTGTTGAAGCTGGGTGATGGGTACACGGGTGCATGGGGGTTTGTTGTCCTATTTATATACTTTAATTGGTGTTTTAAATTTTCCATAATAAAAAATAATTTAAAATATCAGTTTCTGGGAATGGTCCCAGTTAGACCTGTTCCTCCTACTTTTCTAGTCTTGTCTTCAAAGACCTTCCCATCAGTAGCACAAAGATGAAACCTCCCATTATCTAGCAATGGGGATGGTTTGCTTTGAGCCAGCCATACTTTGTGACCAAGGTCACAGATGTGAAGACTCTTGGGTAGATGTAAAGACTGTTGGGTAGACTTCGAGGTGGTTCAATAACATCATGTTGTCTCTAGAGGCAGGTGGACATATAGTGCTGGTAGGAATGTAAAATGGCATAATAACTTTGGAAAACATTTGGCAGTTTCTTAAAAAGTTAAAGATAAATTTTTTATAGGATCCAGTGATTGTACTCCTAGATATGTACAAAGGAAATGAAAGCTTATGTCCATGCAAAGACTTGTACACAGATGTTCCATACAGCCTTGTTTACAATAGTCAAAAACTGGAAACAACCCAAATGTTCAATAAAAGAAAAATTAGTACACAAATTGTGCAATATCAATACAATAGAACACTACTCAGTATTAAAAAAATGAACAATTGATAGATGCAAAAACATGGATGAATCCCAAAGTCATTATGCTAAGTAGAAGAAGCCAGAAAAAAAGAGTACATACTATATGATTCCATTTGTATAAAATCTAAAAATTTCAAATATTCTAAAGTGTCAGAAAGCAGATTAGTGGTTGCCTGAGGACCAGGGGAAGGGAGAAGTGGGAAGGTGGGGAGGAGGAATTCAAAGGGGCACGAGAAACCTAGGAATAATGAATATTTCACTAACTTGAGTATGGTGATGGTTTCACAGATATGTGTGTGTATGCGTGTGTGTGTATGTCTAGTATATAGTTGTATACTTTAAATATGTGTGATTTTAGGGGGATAGTGACTGAAAGGGGACATAGGGTGGTTTATGGGTGCTGAGAATATTCAATTTATTTGTTCTGGGTATTTGTTCCATTAGTGTGATTACTTTGGGAAAATTCATCAACATATATCTGTGATTTCTGCATATGTCTTTATGTGTGTTAATAATTAAATGTTAAATAATCAAAAATAGAGGGCATCAGATTAATCTGGAACTATGAGTAGTATAGTTGTATTAGTCAAAATAAGATAACCAAAATAAAAAAACAGCCTTAAAATCTCAGTGACATGTGACAATACAATGAAGGTTGTTGTGGGGAGGGGCAGCTTGCTCCACCAATAACTCAGGAACACTCTTTCTAGCTAATGGCCCCACCAACCTCTTGGATTTCAGGATCTTCTACTGGATTCCCTGCATTCAACCAGCAGATGGGGAAAAAGAGAGAATAGGAAGACTCACACATGATTTTTTTTCTTTTCTTTTTTTTTTTTTTTGAGACGGAGTCTCGCTCTGTTGCCCAGGCTGGAGTGCAGTGGAGCGATCTTGAATCACTGCAACTTCTGCCTCCTGGGTTCAAGCGATTCTCCTGCCTCAGCCTTGAGGACTGAGTAGCTGGGACTACTGGTGTGTGCCACCACACCCCGCTAATTTTTGTATTTTTAGTAGAGATGGGGTTTCACCGTGTTGGCCAGGATGGTCTCAATCTCTTGACCTCATGATCTGCCCACCTCGGCCTCCCAAAGTGTTGGGATTACAGGCGTGAGCTGCTGCACCCGGCCACACATAATAGATTTTTAGGGCCAAGCGTGTAAGTAGCATAATCACTTCCACCAGCATTGCATTGGCTAGAACAGAGTTACATGACCCATATAACTGCAAGAGAGCTTGGGAAATGTGCTCTAGATATGTGCTCAGAAGGAAAAGAAAATAGAATTTAATGAATACATATCATTATCGCTGCCACAATCTACCCTTCTGATCATCATACCATTTCACTTTTCCTCCCACATATGGAACACCCTCATCATCTCCCCCAAATCCTACCCAGTCTCTGCATCCAACTCAGAGTCCAAGATCTCTCACTGATGCACAGTCCTCTCCATCAGATCTAAATGAAGTTCCTCTTGGTCTGGAGATGTGAGAGGATCTCCTTTATTCATTGCTCTCAGTGATTTCTGGCTCCACTCCTGAGAAGTTTTCCCTCATTCTTTATCCTTGCTGACCAACCCTGAAGTGGATGTTGGGGAGTATGCTCTTCTTAGGGACTGCAGTTTTTATAACCTGCTTCCTGCCCAGTGTGGTTTTAAGGATTTCCAAACAGTCACAGGCTTTTTTAGACCAGGCTCATAGTTATCTAGTAATACCATTCCTTCAAAACCCATAAGGCTTCTCATCTGTTTGCTTCCAATTAGTTTCATGTATCAGTAACCCCCTGCCCCCCAAAATTCTTTCCTAGACGTAGTTTTTGAGTTTATCCTGTTTCTTTGCTTCCTTGCCCCTCCATGCCCTTCTCTCTCAACTTACTGGCAAGAAAGTTGAGGCTATGCGGAATAATAGTCATGGGTAAGAAGGTATCACCTTTAACCTGAACTTTGCCCGAAGGCTGAGTCACTTTATTCAGTTGAAAACAATTATTGGGCCTTTTTTGCTTAAGGTCTCAATCTTATCTCTTCCTGTTTAGTGTCTAGAAGTCGTAGTTCTTTGATGCCCCAAATTTCTGTACCTCCTTATTTCTGCCTACAAATTGGCTAATTCTTTCCCTAGTTTAACTTTAAAAAAAATTTTTTAGTACAGATGAGGTCTCAGTATGTTGCCCAGGCTGGTCTCAAATTCCTGGCCCCAAGCAATCCTCCTGTCTGGTCTTTCCAAAATCCTGGGATGGCAGGCATGAGTGACTGCACCCAACCAACTCTTTCTTTTAATACCTGTCAAAGGCAGTCAATACACAATGATATTTTGATTCTTTTTAACCACTTCTCTTAGAGCTGCAGGTTCAGTAGGCATATGGTCTACCTTTCAGTTTTATCAAATTCTTTCATGTTAACATGACTACCATATTTTCAGCCTTTTATATCAGTTTCCTTATCACCCACCCCCTAACTGCTAAGCCCCACACGTTTTAGACTTCTGTTAAAGCAGCTTCAATAATGGAATGATTACGTGCTTGGGTTCTGGAACTGGTTCAAAACCTGTTTCTTCTACTCAGTAGCTAAGTGACTTTAGACAAAATTCTTTCTCACTCTTAAGTTCCTCATCTATTATTAAAAGAGGATTATTGTAAATATTAAATAATATGTATAAATACTTAGCATAGTACCTAGCACTTGGTTAGTTATTACTATGTTTTATTACTATTATCTCCCTTGAAAATCCCAAGGAGGGCTTCTGCTGGACTTTCTTTTCTGTCCTATGTACTGCTGCCTAGAGACTGTGAACTATAGGGCCTCCCTGCCCTCCTAGGAGAGGGACGCTTTGCTGAGAGATAAGGCTCTAGACTGTAGAACTGAAGCAGCACATATGTTGGATAAAATGTTAATTTAATTCTTTTTTTTTTCATGTATCGATTTTCCTGGTTTTAGGCATCGTGTGTTTTGTCCTAGCAGTTGGGCATGGCATTTGGCAGAACAAGAAATGCTACCACTTCCAGATTTTTCTGCCATGGGTAAAATATGTCTCTTCATCAGCTGTCTCTGCCATCCTCATATTCTGGTCCTACTTCATTATTCTCAATACCATGGTGCCCATTTCCCTCTATGTCAGGTAGGCTTCTTTGATCACTTTGGGGTGTGGGGGAGGAGCTGACTTCATACTGTCTACTTAATTCCCCAACCAGAGTGTGAACTTTTAAAAAGCATACACTTGTGCTCTTTAACCCCTCACTCTCCACAGTAGGTGGTGTACAAAATGCTCTGAGATATATCTAGAGGTTGCATAAATGCCTTCCATGTCCAGAATACTGTGCTAGGAAGACACTATGTGGTTTATACAAAAAGACAGTTATCCCTGCCCTCAAATAACTTATAAAGTAAGTGGCTAAATAAGACATAAAAACACATGAAATAACTAGAAAACATACACACAAATTTGGTGATGCTTAAAGCATGGGTAGTTTCCCCAGGAAGATAGGCCAGGCAGCCCATAGTTTACCAATGAGATAGGTCCAAACATTCACTTGTAAGTCAATTAATCAGAATTCAGAATCCATTTTCCCACACAAACAGTGTGACAGATGGTAGATAGGTGTAATTGTGACCTAAGTTCAACTCCTAAAAGTTGTGGAAGAGAAGAGGAAGGGTTTCCCTTCCTCTTTTTCATAAGCACCTTGAATGAAAATTTGAAATAGCTGAAAAAAGTATTTACCCTACTCTGATCATCCTTTTCTGGGTTCTGCATTTCCTTACACATACACACACCCAAACACATTTTAGTTTCCTCCTTTCCAGGCTTTCTAAACCCTGTACCGGGGCTTTTTGGCAATAAAAAAAAAAGGACCCTATGTAACTAGATTACCTTATTTAGTAATATTTATTGAGTATCTACTATGTGCTAAGGTTTAGAGAGATTGCTATGGTGGCTGATATGGTAAAGGATGGGAGGGGTCCCAACTCCAGGCATAGAGATTATCAGTAATGAGTCAATGATGAGGACCTGAGCACCTCCTTCCTCACCTCAAAGGAAAAAATCCCCATCTGTCAGTGCAGCTGTCTCAGACAGGGATTACTAATAATCACTCTTATAATAAAGCAGACTAACACACATTAAGTATGAATGATGATAAGAAGGAGACCCCTTAAAAGTCTTCACTGTTTTAAAATGAACATGCTTGTTAGCCATAAAGAATCTATAATGGACGCTATTTGGAGCAGAAGAGGAGTATGACAGAGGCAATAGGGAAAACTTATATAAAATGAGAAGAGGTTGTTGTGGGAGGAGACACACCACAGGCAGGCTGGCTCTGCCTGGAAATTTATCAGAGGGTCAGCCCATAAACTATTCCTGATTTTCATAGCTTCTTTCCTTCTTCTGAAATAAACTCTGAGTGTGTCAAGGTTCTCTGTCTTCCCCATGTGACAGGAGCAATAATCCTCCAATTGGGCCAACACAGCCTTTTATAAGTTAACTGTTACTCTATCACACCTTGCATTACTGCAGAAATTCCAAAATTGTAACTTTTCCTGGATACATTATGGAAAAAAAAAAAAAGAATAAAAGCCAGGTATGACTCAAAAAAGTTAATCAAGTATATCTGGGTCCAGGTGGTAAAGCCTTGGGTGATAATGGCCAAAGTCAGCATTACAATGGGTTGGCTGGTGGGAAGGGTCCTTCAGAAGGGTAGAATCCCAAGGAAGACACTCTGATTTTCAGATGCTTAGCCCTGCTAAGAAAGAAACCAGGATGATATATTTGCTTGTCCTGTTCTGACGCAGAACCATTCTTTTTCTGCTTTCTCCTTAGTGTTGAAATAATAAGATTGGGCAACAGTTTATATATCAACTGGGATCGGAAGATGTTTTATGCACCAAGGAACACACCAGCACAGGCTCGTACTACCACCCTTACTGAGGAGCTCGGCCAAGTCAAATATGTGTTCTCTGACAAAACAGGGACTCTGACTCAGAACATTATGATTTTCAACAAATGTTCTATTAATGGGAAGCTCTATGATATGCATGTCTTCCTGCTTTCCCCAAGTCCTGGGAAATTTTTACTTTGCAAATTGTTTTCAAGACTAATCTAGCTCTAAATCTGTAAGCCTCTGGAATTCACATTTATCTCCTATTCTCACAACTGTCTCTATTCTCTAAGCAAAGACCACCCAGCCCAAACAGTTCTAACCAAAAAGCATTTATTTAGCATCTTATAGGTACAATCTATTGTGTTGGGCATTGAGAATACCGAGATGTGCAAGACTTAGTCTCTGTCCTCAAGGAGTCCCCAATGTCTATGTACTCAGTTCACTCCCACTTTAAATCAGATGGATGTTGGTCAAAGGGTACAAAGTTTCAGTTAGGCAGGAGGAATAAGTCTTCAAGATCCATTGCACAGCATGTTGATCCTAGTTAATAATAATGTATTGCATATTTCAAAATTACTAAAAGAGTTTTAAATGTTCTCACTACAAAAAAATAAGTATGCAAGGTGATAAATATGTTAGTTAGCTTGATATAATCATTCCATGGTGTATACATATATGAAAACATCACATTGTATCCATAAATATATACAATTAGTATTTGTCAATTAATAATAAAATTAAAAATAAATTAAATGGAGCAGTCAATGTATTACTGAAGCTGCTAATTTCTTGATTCCCCTTTACAGCAATAAATATTATTGAGAGAAACCATCAAAGGGTAGTCAGAGTTTGATCAGTGTCTCCCAGGCCCAATCCCTTATTTATCTTATGCCTTAAGCATAAGCTTGTTTTTGTGATAGAGTTAAGTCCTCATGTGTGTGAACAGTCATACCCAGTGTCCTAGCTAACAGAGGAAGGTAATCACATCTAAAAAACTAGAACACATGGAATAATCTTTCTGGGGTGACGAAAAAGTTTAGAAACTTGAGAGAGGTGGTAGTTGCACATTGTAAATGCACTAAATGCCTCTAAATTGTACACATTAAAATGGATAATTATATGTTAACTAAGTAAATTTCATATCAATAAGTAATTGAAATTTTTTAATTAAAAAAAGCTAGGCCGGGTGCGTTGGCTCACGCCTGTAATTTCAATACTTTGGGAGTCTGAGGCAGGCGGATCACCTGAGGTCAGAAGCTCGAGACGAGCCTGGCCAACATGGTGAAACCCCATCTCAACAAAAAATACAAAAATATTAGCCAGGCATGGTGGCACATGCCTGTAATCCCAGCTACTTGGGAGGCTGAGGTGGGAGAATTTCTTAAACCCGGGAGGTGGAAGTTGCAGTGAGCCAAGATCATGCCACTGCACTCCAGCCTGGGTGACAAGAGTGAAACTCCTGTCTAAAAAAAAAAAAAAAAAAGACTAGAGCACTCTAATATTTCCTATTATTTCCTATATTTCCTATTATTTGTTTGGTAACCATGTCAAACAAATTTTCACTTATATAAACTCTGAAGGCTTATTTTTGGATGAGCTGATTTGGGTGAGCCTCTTAATTCTCTGACCTGACCATATACTGGGTAAAGTTGAAAAGGACCATGAGTGTTTCCATGCTTGGCATCAGACATGTCTTCTACCCCTATTCAGTCTGTCATCCACTGGTCAAGAATCCCAAACATTCTAAAACTGTGTCCACATCTCTTCTGGGTAACTCTTATGATTGGAGGGCTTCCTGAGGTGTGAAGTCTATCACAGATCCAGTGACTAACTTCTAGCTTCATCTTATTCTCACTTAGGGGAGAAGAGTTGAGGCCCAAGCAAACCTCTTCTTACCATTGGCTTAGGGAAAGGAGCTTACTGGGAACTGGGAGCTAGGTGGCCTGAGGAGACTGGGGGGCAGGCATCTTGACTGCAAGTCTAGGATGAAGGAATCAGAATAAATAAGCTTTTAAGGCCCCTCCTTTAAATCACCATATGACCCAGCAATTTGATTCCTAGGTATATACCCCCAAAACTTGAAAACAAGAACTCGGATACATGTATACCAACGTTCATTGTGACATTATTCGCATAAGTCCAGAGATAGAAATAACCCACATGTCCATCCACAGATGAATGGATAAAGAAACTGTGGTATAGCATATACATACAATGGAATGTGAATCATCCATAAAAAGTAATGAAATTTGATACATGCTACAACATGGATGAACCTTGAAAGCATTATGCTAAGTGATGTAAGCTAAACACAAAAAGACAAAAATTTTATGATTCTACTTATGTGAACTATCTAGAATAGGCAAATTCATAGAGACAAAAAATAGACTAGAGGTTACTAGGGGCTGGTGATGGGAAAAAATGGGAAGTTTCTGTTTGGGGTGCTGAAAAAATGTTGGAAATATATAGTGGTGATTGTTGCACAACATTGTGAATATAATTAATGTCATTGCATTTTACATTTAAAATAGTTAAAATGGCAAGTTTTATGTGATATATATGTATATTTTTTTAACAACAATTTAAAGAAATTCAAACCCTCCTTTAAAACCCTTGCCAAGTCTCTGCTGTGTTCACTTACCAACAGGTGATACTTATGACAAGGATGGACAGAGGGTGACGGTCTCTGAGGTGAGTGATTACAGCTCCATGGGAAATGCATGTGGGAGCTGAGTGAGGCTGTGCTTCAGAGAAGCATCCTTAATACAAATCGAGACTCCCTTAGCCACTGAAATATTAAAGCTTTTACTGGTCCTGTAATATCAGAAAGCATTATATAAATGACCTATGTTTAATTCTGAAGATCTTCGTTTGTTCTTTTTAAACAAAAATAGCTTTATTGGCTTTTTCTCTTTAAAAAATAATCCATGCTCACTGTAAAAAAAAAAATTAAATAATACAGAAATGTGTGAAGAAAGTTAAAATTATTCCATCCCATTTAGATAGCCAGTGTAAAGTTGGGGAGTATATCCTATGCTTTTCATATGTGTATACACACACACATATGTACATCTAGATCTAGAAGATGGGGGAGATAAAATCATAGTATGCATGCTATTTCCAGTTTCCTTTTGTTCACTTGACACTATTATTGTCGTCATCTTTCCATGTCGGTAGGTCTAGGTCTACATCATCATTTTGAATGGGTGTCCACTATTCAGTTGTATCACTGTACCTTAATTTATTTAATTTCTTATTTTTATTCCATTTTCCTTTGCGATTACAAATGACATTTTGGTAATCATTATGGAACATACATTTTGTCTACTTTTCTGATAATTATTTCTTTAGAATAAAGTCCTAGAAGTAAAATTCATTGGTCAAAAGGTAGCCACGTTTTAATACATTAAATAGTGCCACATTGCCCTCCAGGTAGATTCGCATAACTTTATAATCCCACCAAAAATATATGACATTTTGTTTTCCCCCATATGCTTGTCAGAACTGGTATTAACAATTTTTAATCTGTTGAAATTTAATTGATGAAAAATGGTATCTAATTATTTAATTTACCTTTTTTGATGACTAATTAGGTTGAATCATTTTTATGTGCTTATTTTTCTTCCCCTTATCATCTCTTTATTGCCCATTTACACTTACTTTGTGAACTGTCTATTCATATTCTTTGGCCTTTTTTTCTTATTTGAAAATGCTCTTTATACAGTAAAAATACTAGCTCTTCCTTTTTCTGGTGCATATGTTATAATTATTTTTCCCATTTTGTCTTTTGGTTTTTAATTTGTTAAATAATATTTTGTGTAGAAGTGTTTAATTCATGTAATCAAATCTATCAGTCATTTTCCTTTGTAACTTAAGGATTTGTGACATATTCAACAGGCTTTATAAAATTATAAAAATATCTTCCTATTCATTCTTCTTATCTCTAGTTGGTTTTTACTGTTTTCTCTAGTATTGGACCCAGCTTTTGTTTATGGATTTGTTTTTAAGTGTCCCTTCACAGGGGTTCTTCTGCTGCCTTCAGGGTATTCCTCACCTTATCTCTGTCTTGCTAGACCCAATTCCAAACTGAGCCACTTGACTTATGTACCAAACATCTGACTCCAGTTCTCAACTGTTGCCTTACCCCTGTCCATCCAAAGAGATTGGGAAGGGGAAGGAAATTCAGTGATTTGCCTTAAATCATCTTCCAGGGGCTTGGCTAATGACCTTGGCAATATAGGCAAAATTATAGCTTCTAGGGAGTAAATCCCTCCTGGAGTTTCTTTCCTCTCCTTCTGTCCACTACTGATTGACCGTAACACATTTTTCACTAAATCACTGGAATTTTTGTTCTCTTATAAACAAACTTACCTATAGCCTCAATCCCTTCATTAATTGAAACATGATTTTCCCTGAGAACATTCCTTTTTCTTCCATCTCTCTCATACTCTGCATACCATAAACTCTGGATACCATAAGCCCAAAGGTGTTGCCCTCATTATCCTGTGCCATGTTTAACCATTAGTTTTTCTCTCCTACACAATCTTTCTTCCTGTGATGCTTATGACTTCTGGCTATACTCATCTGTAACTCTTCTTGTTGTTGATATCTAGGAAGCTTCTGGCTTCTACACCCCATTCATTGAGGGCTTTGAAACTTCTCCCTCCCCTCCCAACCACTGCTATTGTTTTGGGTGGTATTGTCATCCTTATGGACGACCTATCACTGTAGACTCTTTCAGGTCTCTGAAAGAATCCTTCAGATGATCTCTTGGACAAAAAAAAAAAAAAATCTGTATCACCCATTTCCATGTTACCATGTAATTGTCCAGAGTTGTACTAATGTGGAATTATAAACTTTCTTTTCACAATCTTTGATCACAAACCTTATTCCTCCATATTCTCAGTACATGGCTCGTACTTGAGATTTTTAAAAGTATTCCTGCTTTTTTATCTCATGGAGATTTATAAACCCTTGGCTTTCTTTTTTCTCCAGTCTATCAATTCCTTATGACTTTACTTCCTTTCCTAGCTTGCCTGTCTGTACCCTGGGATCATAAGCATCCTCAGTACCTTACTAGTTCTCCTTTTCTTCTCTTTAATCACTGAACAAATCTCAACCTTGAATTAACCAAACCATCGACCCTGCTCTGTTTCTAATTTGAGAGTGTTAAGCACTATTTTGGAGATCATAAAACCATTACAAATTCAGAGACTCCACTGTCCTCTGTCCCAGTGCCACTTGGCAAATTTTTCACCATTTTGTAATTGGCTTCATATTTTATTCTCCGTATCAGCTTTTCTAAACAATCACCATTCTCAGACCTTCTACCACACTCTCCTGGCTCCCCAGTACGTAGCAAATGATACTGCCTTCTATTTTACTGAGAAAAATCCAAACTATCAGCTAAATATCCTCCTCTGTACATATATTTTAACCCGCCTTTACCTCCTTTCCTTCAGTCTCAAAAGAAGTATAACTTTTTCCTTCAGTACTAATCTATATATTGTAGTTTCCATCCCTTCCTACTTCTTCAGGAACCTCAGTCAATCCTGTATTCTCTCTTTCTTAATATCTGACTATCCCCTTATATGATTCTTTCCCCTCAGCTCGTCTTTTTTTTTTTTCCCCGCGGAGTCTGGCTGCATCCCCCAGGCTGGAGTGCGGCGGCACGATCTCAGCTCACTGCAGCCTCCGCCTCCTAGGCTCAGGTGATTGTCATGCCTCAGCCTCCTAAGTAGCTAGGATTACAGGCGTGGCCACCACACCTGGGTTAAACTTTCCCTTAAGCTGTTTTCACTGATGTTGAGACTTAGAATTTCCAAACATATGTAGTGGGAACAAATTCCTGGATCTTGGAGTTTTCTTAGCATCCAAAGTCATCTTTTTGGAACAGGCTAAGCCTCAAGGAGCCTCTGGGTCATGCCAGATAGGCCAGATATGGCGTTCACCTATAGCCATACTCGGAAATACAGCTTCCCTTTGCTTCTCCTTCCCCACTCAGACAGCCTGTACTCCTGACCCCAACACACACACAATTGTTACTTTGATGAATTCATTCCACATTTGAATGTGAAACCTCCCCCACCTTAGTGGGGAGAAGCAACACCTGGATTTTGATGCTCTAAGAGGAGTCCCTTTTCCTATGAGAAGTTTTTCAGAAGCATCTCAAGGATTCCCAAGAGAAACAACCTCAGAAACAATTATCTTGGGAGTCCTACTTTTGTTGCCATAGAGTCCAGGAATAACAGGCCAGTCAGCAAATAGTAGCAGATTTGTATTCTCCCAAGCCCTAGCAAAGCCAGTCGGCTTTGTGGGAGGCATATGTGTATGCATGTGTTGCTGCTGACCTCTTGTGGCTAATAAAGAAAAAGCCCTCTCTAGGTCCCAGGATGGAGCGTCCAGCCAGGGAAGGGTCATTGGGTCTATTCTGCTTGCCAATATTAGGCGGTATGCAGTGCTACAGAAGCCACTGAATGCCACTAAGCAAGTAAAGAGTCCAAAGACTGGGCAAAGTGGCTCACACCTGTAATTCCAACACTTTGGGAGGCCGAGGCAGGTGGATCAACTGAGGTCAGAAGTTCAAGACCAGCCTGTCCAACATGGCAAAACCCCGTCTCTACAAAAAATACAAAAATTAACTGGGTGTGGTGGTGGGTGCCTGTAGTCCCAGCTACTCTGGAGGCTGAGGCAGGAGAATTGCTTGAACCCAGGAGGCAGAGGTTACAGTGAGCTGAGATCACACCACTGCACTCCAGCCTGGGTGACAGAGCAAGACTCCATCTCAAAAAAAAAAAAAAAAAAAAGTACAAAGGTTTACCTGCCTAGGAATGCAGGGGTACAGCTAGCATTCCCTAGCAATCACTCTGTGTCCTTTCTGTGCGGGGCTGTATAGGTTATGGTGGGATTGGTCCAGATCCACCTTGAAAGCTTGGTGTGGCCTTACTCTATCCTAGGACCTAGGGTTCTAATAAAGTAGGATCAAGTAGAGACTGGGGTCAACATTCTCAGTCAGGTTTCTCCTGCTGTAGGTTAATGTGTGTGGGGGTGGGGCGGGGGGGCAGGGGTCGAGGGATGAAGGTGGCTATCTTGGACCTGGAAGGTGGAGCTGGGACTGTAGAGAAGAGAGGAGCCTACAAAATCTCCTTGGTATTCTTCCAGACAGTTTATGAGACCTGGTTTATCACATGCTACAGTCTGGTCTACACTTCCCTCCCTGTCCTGTGCATGAGTCTGTTTGATCAGGTAAGATCCAGCAGCAAGCCCCTGGTCAGCGTTGAAGCCCCTGGGCCCTTGAGGAATATCCCTAAGAATGAAGAATACAGCAAGAGCTGGGCTCTACAAAATCCAGTGTAAAGGGAATAATTTCCAGAGCGGGGAAAAGAGCTCATCACCTAGATAGGTATCATGAGATAAAGTAAAAAATCCTCCTCAACAGAGAATAATCCTCAGTTTTAGCCAAGTTTTCCTGTATCAATTTTATCTTTGTAGAGAGAAACATGGAAATTGTGCTGTACAGTAAATTGAGTATATATAAAAGTAATTAAAATATATATGGAAAAATAAGGAAAAATTAAATAACATAAGCAGAATATGAATGGAAAAAAATAAAGAAAAGAAAATAGAGTTATTGGGGTAGGACTGGGTAACGTATGGGACTTCAAAAAGGAGAGACTCCTTCAGCGATAATGAGGATGAGATAAGCCAAAGCAGGAGGGCCTGGGAGGGAGTCCTGAAGGCCAGGCATGGGAGTATGGGTGTGATAGTTTATATCATAAGGAGCCAGACTAAGGGATACCGTCTGTCCCTGTCAGAAATTGAGGGTCCTGGGACCCTACCTCTCCCTTGTCTTCTACCCCAACCTCTAGTCCTGGGCACATGGAGTAGAAAATGAGTCTCCAAAAAGGAATAAAGTAGCTGAAATAGGACATCATGGGATCATGGCTCTTGGTCTCCATGGGAAATAGCTCTAAAGGAAATTCTCCAGGAAGTAACTGCTAACCTCAGAACAACAAGAGGGGTGGGTTGTATTACTCAACAGTCCATCCAGCTTCAGTGGCCTAATTCTAGGGATCCATCTCTGAAGCCAGCCCCAAGCTTTGTATCCAAAGTTTCAGAGTTAGGAGATGAAGATGATCCAATGACATCCACTTTGAGTAATTTTTTCACCTTCAGTTCACCAGTAGCTATGGGAGTGGGAGAAACCTCACAGAACATGAATACCTCTAAAAGACTAACTGGTCCCCATTGATGTTGCTTTCTCCCATATTGACTTTTGGCATAAAGAATATTCAACTATGGCCGGGTACGGTGGCTCACACCTGTAACCCCAGCACTTTGGGAGGCCGAGGCAGGTGGATCATTTGAGGTCAGGAGTTTGAGACCAGCTTGGCCAACATGGCGAAACCCCATCTCTACTAAAAATATAAAAATTAGCCAGGTGTGGTGGCACACACCTGTAATCCCAGCTACTCAGGAGGCTGAGACAAGAGAATTGCTTGAACCTGAGAAGTAGAGGTTGCAATAAGCCGAGATGGTGCCACTGCACTCCAGACTGGGTGATAGAGCAAGACTCCATCTCAACTGAAAGAACTCTTACACCTGGGGACTTATGTCCCAGCTGCCTCCCCCATCTCAAGCTCCAGTCCTCCCTCCCAGCTACCCACAAGCCTAGTTGCTCCCTTTCATAACTCCCCAATTCTAACTCCCTCCAAGTCCTTCCCAGCATCCCGAACTTCTCCCAGCTTCCTTCCACTACCCAGATCCTTGCCTAGAGAGTAGGACTTCAGGAAGGGTCTGTGGTCACTGCTGTGTTCTCTGGTTCCACTTCTCCAGTAACCCATAAGGAAGCTCCTAGGCAGCCTGGCAGCAGACCTGGTGAGGGGAGAAGCCTCTACTCTGATGGAGATGGGACCTTCTATGGAGAGACCCTGAGCCTCCCTCCTTACCCTCGGGTGCTTCCAGGATGTGAATGAGACATGGAGCCTCCATTTCCCAGAGCTGTATGAGCCAGGCCAGCACAACCTCTATTTCAACAAGAAAGAATTTGTGAAGTGTTTAATGCATGGGATCTACAGTTCCTTCGTGTTGTTCTTTGTCCCCATGGGGGCTCTTTACAATGCAGAACGAAATGATGGGAAGGACATCTCCGACTACCAGTCCTTCTCCCTGGTGGTGCAGACCTCCTTGATCTGGGTGGTCGCAATGCAGGTGTGGCCAGTGGTGGTGGGGGTAAGGGGATTGGGTGGGGGCCTCTCTGAAAGAGTGGGAGGAATAGAGGGTGAGAGTGTGGGAAGGGAGCAACCTTCATTACATAATTGGAGGGGGGAGGTAGCTGACAGGTCCCAGGTTACAGGTCCCATAAGAGGGTACTTTTCAGATCGCCCTGAGGACAACCTACTGGACAATGATAAACCATGTTGTCATCTGGGGTAGCCTGGGTTTCTACTTTTGGGTGTCATTCCTCCTGTACAGCGATGGCTTGTGTCTAGTATTCCCTGACGTCTTCCAATTCCTAGGTAAGGCCCTGCCCAGTGGGCGGAGGGTGGGGAACCAGGTATATTTATTTAATAAATGTTTACCGAGAAGCCATTACTATGTGCTAGGCTAGAGATATAAATAAGACATGGTCTCTGCCCTAAAAGGGCTCAAAATGTAGCTAGGGAAATAAGTTACCTTATTTGAGTTTCCAAGGTATTTTCAAATGTCTTACGAGATTTGCTATTTATCAGCATCCTAAGAGGTAGGCAGTGCAACAATTTTTAGAGCCATTTTAGACACCGGAGGGTTTTTTTTTAATTAAAGGACTTAAATCTAGGTTTCCTGGTTCCAGTTCAATGTCCTTTATGCTGTGGCATATCGCCTTGTTGTCTCCCATAATTTTTCCCTCTCTCTCATCTCCACTTTGCTGAAGACAAAATATAGAGAGTAGATATGTAGATGTAGTTGGCTCCCATCTTTTTGTTTTTATTTTTAATTTTTTGAGACTCTGTTGCTCTACCTCTGTCGCCTTGGCTGGAGTGCAGTGGTGCAATCTTGGCTCACTGCAACCTCTGCCTCCTGGGTTTAAGCGATTCTCGTGCCTCAGCCTCCCCACTAGCTGGGACTACAGTTGTGCACCACCATGCACTGCTCATTTTTTTGTATTTTTGGTAGAGACGTGTTTTTGCCATGTTGGCCAGGGTGGCCTCAAACTCCCGGCCTCAAGCAATCTGCCGGCCTGGGGCTCCCAAAGTGCTGGGATTACAAGCGTGAGCCACCGCACCTGGCTGTCTCTCACCTTTTGTCAGGCCACTAACTTATTTTTCTCCTTCAAATCTTTTTTTTTCTTTTTTTAATTTT
This sequence comes from Homo sapiens, assembly GCF_000001405.40. NCBI lineage: Eukaryota > Metazoa > Chordata > Mammalia > Primates > Hominidae > Homo > Homo sapiens. Next base: position 35,481,422 of record NC_000009.12, read on the forward strand.
TTTTTTTTACCTTTTTTATTTTTATTTTTTTGTTTTTTCCTCCTCCAAAGCTTTCTTTCCCATTTTTGGATGCAAGCCAGTGCTCTAGGATTCCCTCATAACTTACCCCTGCTCTCCTATCCTGCCCTACCCTGCCCTGCCTTTAGAGGGAGAGAGAGGCACATGGATTCACAGTGACTTTGGCTGCACAAAGGACCCAACTACAATTCTTTTGTATTTATATTATTTCTCAGGAGCCTAAACTAACTACAAGTCAGTAACTTCCTTCTTTGGACTAGAGAGGTGTCTACGTTCTGGCTGGTAACTCCTACCCCTGGTCCTACCCCGGTCCTCCAGGCTCTGTTTCAGCCTTTCCCCTCCTGGCTCACTGTTTACAGGTGTGGTCAGGAATTCTCTGAACCAGCCGCAAATGCTGCTGAGCATTATCCTCAGTGTGGTCCTCTGTATGTTGCCTGTGATTGGGCACCAATTTCTTAAACCACTATTCTGGCCTATCAGCATGGACAAAGTAAGTGCAACAGAAAATCTACGCAGATATAATTCATGACCTTCTTTTGCTTTTGCCTCTGTGGATGAAAACCCTATCCCCCATGCTCTGGCTATAGGTTTTTGACAGAATTCAAGAGTGCAGGAGACTTCCACAGCAGTCCCCAGTCTGGACCAAACTGAAACACTCAAGCACTCGACGTTCTGCCTATGCATTCTCCCATAAACAAGGCTTTGGGGCCCTCATCACTTCTGGCAAGATAGTGAAGCCCAGGATGTCCAAGAGAAACACCCTTTTTTTGAAAAAGATAGAGGCCCTAGGGAAATTCCAAAGGAGGCAGTCAGTGCTCTTCCTCCCTCGTACTCATGCAACTTAGGAAGAATTAGAGTCCCTGGGAAACCAGCATAAACCTGCTCCTTCATTCTCACTAGGGACTAAGCCTCTTAATTGTCCAGAAGGCTATTCCCAGAAAGGCAAGGAGGGGTAAGGAAAGAGCCCCCAGATATCTGCCAGAGTTGCAGCATTTCAAGAAAAAGAAAAAAAAAGCAACCTCAGGCCTGCCTCCCACCATCTCTTGCAAGTTTTAATCCAGACAAGCATATGTAGAGGTAGGGGGTGACAAGAGACAGTATGGGGAAGGGAAAAGAAGATGGAACCTAAGAATTTTACTTTGGGCCCTATCTCCTATACTCAGAGCAAGCATAAACCTTCCCAGGGCCCTACACAAACATATTCCCATCGAGGCATCACATAAAATAAAATCAACCATTTAAAAAGGTATAATTTAGTGACAATTACTTCCCATTTATAAGCAAGGGATGCATGAGTGCTACCCATAGACCGGATATGGGCCATGTCTTTAGCGTTTCTTGATCTCGTTAGATAAATTATCTGAAATTTTGAGGAGACTTCAGCAGAAAGAAGCAGGGGATATGCTGTCAAATGCCTGTGGATTTATACTAAGAAAGAAAGAAGGGGCATAAGGAAAATTTTCTTTATCTCGATTTTGGAGGTGGTTACATGGGTATGTATTTGTCAAAATTCATTGACCTGTATACTTAAGATTTATACATTTTATTTTATGTAAACTATATCTCAATAAAGTTGAGTTTTTTAATGTCTAGAAATTTTTAATGGAGTTGTAAGTGACCAACCACAGGAGCCAGATTCACCCACACTGAAGTAACTCACTATAGAAGAGATATCTCCACCAATGGGGAGAGAATTTCTGAAGAACCTATAAAAGGACCTCTTGAAAACGAGTCAACTTTAGATACCTGCCAGGCCTTTTTTTTTTTTTTTTTTTTTTTTTGAGATGGAGTCTCACTCTGTCGCCCAGGCTGGAGTGCAGTAGCGCTATTTCGGTTCACTGCAACCTCTGCCTCCCAGGTTCCAACAATTCTGCCTCAGCCTCCCGAGTAGCTGGGATTACAGGTGCACACCACCACACCCGGCTAATTTTTGTATCTTTAGTAGAGACGGGTTTTTGCCATGTTAGCCAGGCTGGTCTCAAACTCCTGGTCTCAACTGATCTACCCGCCTCAGCCTCCCAAAGTGCTGGGATTACAGGCATGAGCCACCATGCCTAACTTATCTGCCAAGCCTTAAAATTAGTTTATGACTGTATTAGTCAAGTAAAGGCTTTCTTCATCTCTTCCCTCTCCTGTCCTGCTTAAGCCCCGGAGAAAAAAGAATTAGCAAGCTGAAGGAGGGAGGAGGGGTAAGTAGAAAAACAGACATCTACAAAGCCCACTGAACCTGGCCACATGCAGCAGCCCAGCTGAAAGATAAGGAAAAGCATTAATTGTAAAGGTTGAAGTTTTTAAAAATTATTTCATTAAATCACTTTAACTACTAAAGCGAAACTTAAAGTGACAAGTACTGGTTGCTACTAAAAAGGACCATTCACTAAGTACATTTTGCATCAGCACTTGTTCCTTCACCTTGTACTTTTATGTTATAGAGACGACTTCTTTCTGTAAACCTCATGAACCCACCTCTGTTGGCATCCAACTTTTCTTCTGTAACTTCTTCCCCAGCCTTCATAGAATTGAAGAGAGTTAGGGCCTTGCTCTGGATTAGGTTTTGGCTTAAGGGAATACTGTGGCTGGTTTCAGCTTCTATACAGACCACTCAAACTTTCTCTGTATCTGCAATAAGGCTGTTTTGCTTTCTTATTTGTGTGTTCACTGGAATAGCACTTTTAATTTCCTTCAATAACTTTTCCTTTGCATTCACAACTTGGCTAACTGGTATAAGAGGCCTAGCTTTCAGCCTGTCTTGGCTTTCGACATGCCTTCCTCAATAATCTTAATCGTTTCTAGCTTTTTATTTCAAGTGACAGATATGTGACTCTTCCTTTCACTTGAACACTTAGAGGCCATTTAGGGTTATTAATTGGCCTGATTTCAATATTGTTGTGTCTCAGGGAATAGGGAGGCCTGAGGAGAGGTAAAGATGGGAATGACGGGTTGGTGGAGCAGTCAGAACAGGCATTTATTAAGTTTGGCATCTTCTATAGGCGCAGTTCGTGGTGCCCCAAAGAAATGAACAAGGAACACTGTCCTAGCCCCAACATATCCCTGTGATTCCAGCTCCAAATTATCTACCAAATCTTCTAAGATTCATGAAAAGCGTTTTGGAAAAGACACATCATTTGGAGGATCCTGGGAGTCATTCAAGACTATTTGCTGTATGTTACCCCACCCACCCCCATGACACATTCAATTAATCACTAAATTCTACAGATTTCTATACCCTAAATCATCCTTGAATCTATCTCCTCTTATCTAAGCCTTCAGCCACTGCCCTAATTCAGACTCTTTCAGTTCTCATCATAATTATCAATCTCCTAACTGGTTGATTGATTACCTTCCTGTAATTCAATATCCACACTCCTACTGAAGTGAGATTTCTAAAGCTCAGATATGTTCACATCACTCCCCTGCATGAAATAATAGTGCCAACAGCCTTCAGAATAAAATCCAAACTTAGCTGGGCATGGTGGCTCATGCCTGTAATCCCAGCACTTTGGGAGGCTGAGGCGGGTAGATCACCTGAGGTCAGAAGTACAAAACCAGCCTGGCCAACATGGTGAAACTGGGCGTGGTGGCGGGCTCCTGTAATCCCAGCTACTCGGGAGGCTGAGGCAGGAGAATCACTTGAACCCAGGAGGCAGAGGTTGCAGTGAGCCGAGATCACACCACTGCATTCCACCTGGGGTGACAGAGCAAGACTCCATCTCAAGAAAATAAAATCCAAACTCCCAAACACACATACAAGGCCCTTCCTAATCTTGCTGTTGCCTCCCTCCTACACTTTGCCCATGCTTAACTAATGCCCATACTACTTGAGTTTCCCTAAGGCATCATGCTTTCTTTGTTTTTTTTTTTTTTTTTGAGACAGAGTTTCACTCTTGTTGCCCAGGCTGGAGTGCAATGGTGTGATCTCGGCTCACTGCAACCTCCACCTCCCAGGTTCAAGCAGTTCTCCTGCCTCAGAGAGGCAAGTAGCTGGGATTACAGGCATGTGCCACCATGCCTGGCTAATTTTGTATTTTTAGTAGAGGTGGGCTTTTCACCATGTTGGTCAGGCTGGTTTCGAACTCCTGACCTCAGGTGATCCACCCACCTTTGCCTCCCAAAGTTCTGGGATTACAGGCATGACCCACCGTGCCCAGCCTCTTTGTTTGTTTGTTTTTGAGATGGAGTTACGCTCTTGTTACCCAGGCTGGAGTGCAATGGTGCAATCTGAGCTCACTGCAACCTCCACCTCCCGGGTTCAAGCGATTCTCCTGCCTCAACCTCCTGAGTAGCTGGGATTACAGGCACCTGCCAGCATGCCCAACTAATTTTTGTATTTTTAGTAGAGACGGGGTTTCACCATGTTGGCCAGGCTGATCTTGAACTCCTGATCTGAGGTGATGTGCCTGCCTTGGCCTCCCAAAGTGCTGGGATTACAGGTGTGAGACACCGCACCCGGCCAGCATCATGCTTTCTTATGTCTCTGTGTTTTCGTATATTCTTTGATTTGCAAGTGTCTGGAAAACTTAAGAAATACTTTGAAATGGGTGTCTTTTTAATGGAATGTTGGGTGCTGTTAAGAATCTTTGGGAATTATTTGATTATATTAGCGGTGAGAGCCTTTGATTTCCTTTGACTAGGTTCCTATTTTACAAGTAAGCTATTTTCTAACTCGTTGGAGTTAGAAGTTAACTTCAGAATACTGACAATAAATAATACAAAAGATTTTCTGCCCATAACAGTGCAAACGATTCCTGTTCTGGGTGATGCAAATAAATTTTGTCCATTAGAGAAAAGACATTTCTAAGTCAAATCTTCATTTGAACTGGTTTTAGTATCTTACTGGTTCCCTCATTAGTTAAATAAAAAATTTGAAATATGTTCATTGTATATTTGTATAAGGCTCTGCCAGGCTCAGTGGCTCATGTCTGTAATCCCAGCACTTTAAGAGGTGGAGGCGGGTGGATTGCTTGAGCTCAGGAGTTCAAGACCAGCCTGGGTAACATGGCAAAACCCTGTCTCTACCAAAAATGCAAAAAATATCTTTAGTCCCAGCTACTCTGGAGGCTGAGGTGGGAGGATCGCTGAAGCCCGGAAGTCGAGGCTGCAGTGAGCCATGATCGCACCACTGCACTCCAGCCTGGGTAACAGAGAACCTGTCTCAAAAAATAAAAAATAAAAATACTTGCATAAGGCTCATTATTTTACCTTTTTGAAAGTTATTCTTTAACACAAACAACAGGAAGTAACCCACACTCGCTGAAGCCAAAAATGAGATTCCTATGAATGGATAGAAGGATGCATCATGATCCTGGGGAAGGAATCCTGCTGGGCCTCAGAAAGAAGTGGAACCAGCTGCTGGAAGGTCCCAAGAACCTAGGGAGCAGTCTTTTTGTGTCTAGACTTGCTTCTCTGTGTGCAACTGATTGATCTTCTTTCTCAGCAAACTGGTTTTCAATGCTGCTCAGGCCAAATGGGCAAGTAGAAGATGACTACTGCATAGCTCCCAAATTACCCTTAAGTCCAATTTAAGTCTGAGCAGAGATGTAGCTCTTTGTCTCCCAATTCCAAATTCTTAGAGAAGTAATTCTAATTGGCCTGGTTTGGCTTAATTCCCCAACCCAGACTATTTAACTGGGGGATCACACTGTGCAAACATGCAATTCCTCATTGGTTCCCCACTGGCAATGCTAGCTCTCTCCATGTCACCCTTATTTAAGCCCTTAGAACTTTATTTCTAACATTCATATTTGATCTTGTCATTCCTGCCTCTGCAATAAAGCCCTTCAGTATCTCTCCCAACTCCTTAGTAGTCATAGGCGTTTCATCACCAAACCCTGACCAGCTCTCCTCAGCTGTCTCCGTTGCCTCCCACACTTCTCAATCACATTGGTCATTTTGCCCCTCAGTTCTTTTGCACATGCCAATTCTCTCTTTACCTCCCACTCATTCTTCAAAATTCAGCTCACACCACTTCTGTGAAGCCTGAAGACAAGCTACATATCCTGACATTTATCTGCTTCCTTGACTGTGACCCCAGTCTCTAACTCTTTCAGTGAGTATGGAACCTAGAACAGAGTCTTCTATTTTTTTTTTTGAGACAGAGTCTTGCTCTGTTGCCCAGGCTGGAGTGCAATGGCGCAATCTCAGCTCACTGCAACCTCCGCCTCCCAGGTTCAAGTGATTCTCCTTCCTCAGCCTCCCGAGTAGCTGGGATTACAGGCATGCGCCACCACACCCGGCTGATTTTTGTATTTTGAGTAGAGACGGGGTTTTACCATGCTAGTGGTCTCAAACTCCTGACCTCAGGTGATCCGCCCGCCTCAGCCTCCCAAAGTGCTGGGATTACAGGCGTGAGCCACCGCGTCTAGCCTAAGAGTCTTCTCAATGGGTGATATGGTTTTGTTAGTGGTGGAAGAGGTCTGAGTTACCCCAAGTTACCTGCAGCCTATCCTTATGGGTCTGTAGCAACTTTAGTCCTTGCTTCATCAGAAGAAAGAATTCGACTGTGGGGCAGAAAGCAGAAAAAGAGACCAAGGCAAGTTCCAGAGTAGGAATGGAAGTTTATTTAAAAAGGCCTTAGAACAGGAAAGAAAGGAAGGTGCGCTTGGAAGAAACCCAAGCGGGCACGTGAAGGTTAAAGAGAGAAGGTCAAGTGCCTAACCAAGATCCTAGGACTTTTACAGGCTGGCCTCTTTCCCATGATTCTTCCCTTAGAGTGGGCTTCCCGAATGCGCAGTGCTTTCCTTCCCGTTTTCCGGTGGAGGGTGCCCCCAGGAGATCATACGTCACCATTTTTGTCTCTTAACACGCATGCCCAGAAAGTTGCTTCTCCCTGAGGCCTGCATTCAATTAGCATTTTGATGTTAACATGTGTGGACCATCAGGAAATGGCCTCTCCCTGGCCCAGCCGAATTATCCTTTTTAAAGAAGCAATGAGGTAATTATGGAACTGTCACTGGTAGAGGGTCTGACTGCAAGTTGTCCAGGTTCTTGGCGTTTTGAACAAAGAATTGGACAAAACGCCCAGCAAAGCAAAGAAAGAATGAAGGAACAAAAGAAGGAAAGCAGGGATGTATTGAAAACGAAAGCACACTCCACAGTGTGGGAGCAGCCGGAGCAGCGGCTCAAGGGCCAGGAAACAGAATCTTCTTGGGTCCAAATACCCCCTAGAAGTTACCCGCCACTTCATGCTCACCTCATGTAAATGAATTCGTAGCCTGCAATCAGTCTGATTGGTTGCAGAAAGCAGCCAAGCAGAGGCTGAAGTGAAGTTACAAAGGTCGCACACCTGTGCAAACATCTGATTGGTTGCAAGAAGCAACCAATCAGAGGCTAGGGTGAAGTTACAAAGTTATACTTCTATGCAAAGTTAGACTCGGCTGCAGTCAGTCTAATTGGTTGCAGATAGCCAATTTCCCATCTGCTGGGCAGAAAAGTTGGGTGGGGGGTTTGTTACTTAGGTGTGGAAAGTTAGGGTTTTCCTTTCAATTTAGTTCCAGGAAGTTGGCATGAACCAGTCTTAGGTTCCCTGCCTCCAGTCCCTATTCTCCTGCCTCAGAACCATCACCCAACATCCCTAGTGGGTAGCAGGGGAGAACCCTCTCCTGCCCCGCTCATGCCTAACTACCTGTAACAGTTTGGCTGTGTCCCCACCCAAAATCTCATCTTGAATTGTAATTCCCATAATCCCCCTGTGTCAAGGGCGGGAACAGGTGGAGGTAATTGGATGATGGGGCTGGTTTCCCCTGCGCCCTTCTCGTGACAGTGAGTGAGTCCCACAAGATCTGATGATTTTATAAGCGTCTGGCATTTCCCTTGCCTGCACTCACTCTGTCCTGCCACCCTGCGAAAAGGATGGCTACTTCTTTGCCTTTTGCCATGATTATAAGCTTCCTGAGGCCTCGCCAACAATGCGGAACTGTGAGTCAGACCTCTTTCCTTCATAGTATTTCTTCATAGCAGTGTCAGAACGGACTAATACAGTGGGTTTCCCATAACATTTGCAGGACTGCCTGCCCCATCCCCCTCTGGCTGTAAACAGCAGGAGTCACACACAGGCATCTTCCATGTCCCCCACACATCCGGCCCTGAAGGGCAGGGGGCGCATGGGTTCTACGTTTCATCAGGGGTTCCGAACCCTGGCTATGCACTGGAGGCCAACCCCACCTCACCCCACCCCACTCCACCCCAGTGGTTCTGAGTCGGTCCAGTGTGAGGTCAGCCCTCCTTCTGTTGTTTGGTTAGTTTCCACACTAGGTTCTACTGGGAAGCCAGCGTTGAGAACCGCCGCCTCAGGCGAAGCTGGGACTCACACCCACCGGCCCTGGAGGCCCGCGGAAGGTTTCCCTGGGTTCCAGCACCCGGGAGCCGCGCGTCGCCAGGCACCACCCCGCGGGGGCGGGCGCGGGCCGCAGAAGATTGGGCCACGGCGGAAGCCTCTCCGCTCCCTTAGCGGGAAAGCTCTGCGCGTGACTCGGCTGCGCCCATCGCTGCGGGAGCCGGGGAGGGGGCGAGCACCTTAGGCCGGGCGGACCGAACCAACGCGCCGCCCGGAGGGGCGGCCTGAGGGCAACCCAGATCGGACCATCGCGCCACGCCGACAGGGGCCGGCCTTTCCAACCCGCCCGGAGGGAGGGGCCGCCGGCGCCTCTAGCCTGCAACGCGACCCCTGGAGGGCGAGACACGCCGCCGCCGCCGCCGCCGCCGGCGCGGAAGGACGAGGCTGAGGCGAGAAACGAGGTAGGAACGCCTCTCCGGAGGCGGGCAGGGTCCCACAGACCCACTGCCCCGCGTTCCAAGGTCTCCCTTAGGGGAGGGCCTGTCTTCCCACCTATGTGCCTTCAGCGCCTGCCCTTCCCTTCAGCCCTTCCCCCTCGGCTGCACCCGCCCTCTGCGTCCGCCCCGACCCCCTGGGCAGACCTCGTCCCCAGCCCTTCTGACCCTTGGCCTTCTCCTGACCCTTCAGCTCTGCGTCCACCGGACCTTCAAACACCCAGCACCCACCGTCCCTTTGGGCGCCACCCCAGATGCATCCCCAACCGTCTCCTCAAACTGCCCCCTTGGGGACACCCTCCCCCCACAAAACGACTCGCGCCCAGTAGTCACCTTGGTACCCCAAGTCCCTGTGACGGCTTTGGGGAAGCGTGGCCGCCCGGCACCCAGGCCGGCGACTGCAGCGGGGGCCTCCCTACTGCCAGTTCCCGGCCGGGTCCTCTGCTCCCTCCACCCTTTTAGCCCCTGCCTCCCTTTATTATCCGCCCGGCGCCGGCGTTGCTTCAGTCTCTGTCTCTCTGTCATCCAGTTTTACCTGGAGAAAACCTTTGGCTTGGCAGTAACCGTCCCCTACTACTGCACTCACTTGCCGCGAAGGGCACGGTGATCCTGTTGCCCACAGTTGGCTGTGGCCCTCCAGGCCGGCCCTGCGGACACGGGGAACTGTCCTGGGGGCAAGGACGGTACACTACTCATCTTTGTATCCCCGGTCCCCAGCACGGTGCCTGGCACATGGTAGTGTTGCTGGTGGAGGGTCTTCACTACCAGTTGTCCTTTGCGTTTTGAACAAGTAATTGAGCAGCGGAGGAATGAAACGCAGGAACAAGTAGATCTGAGTCAGGCAAGGATTACCACTATGTGAACAGTGTCCGTGATAAAGAACACAGGCCTTAAAAAAAAAAAAAAGGCGGAATTTACAAAGGACAAAGGGCCTGAAACCTGTTTTTATTTATTCCTAGGTGGGTGACCTGAGCAGATTTAGTTTCCTGGGGGTTTGGGTTCCACGCGGAAGCAGGTGGTATCGCTGAGGGATGAAACAATGGCTGGAAAGCTGTAGGAGTTGATAAGGTAGAAAGTAGTTACCTAATTAGTAGTGGCATTATTGTAACTGGGGCTCAAAGTATTAGCAAATAAAAGTAGTGACTGGATTTTCTTAGCCGGCTCCTTAGATATTAAGCAGTGGTGGATGGCTTAATGGAAGGAAGAGCAGATCCAAACAGTATACCTGGTATTCTGTTAGTTATGCCCGTCCTGCTGTATGGCCAGCCACTGTTTCTCTTCTGTTTTGAGCCAGGTTAGGATCCCTCTGATTTCTGTGCTGGTATTTAAGATTCCTTTTTGAAGCCACAGTTGCCTTAACTGGAGGCTGGACATGTTCTCATTCATCCATTGCTAGTTTTGATGTATCCTTTTCCGCTTTCTGTCTCCCACCCTCTTACATGTCTTTATAAAGTCTTGGATCAGGCCAGGCACAGTGGCTCAGCCTGTAATCCCGGCACTTTGGGAGGCCCAGGTGGGCGGATCACTAGAGGTCAGAAGTTCAAGATCAGCCTGGCCAACATGGTGAAACCCCATCTCTACTAAAAATACAAAAATTACCGGGCATGGTGGTGTGCACATGTAGTCCCAGCAACTCAGGAGGCTGAAGTCCCAGCAACTCAGGAGGCTGAGGCAGGAGAACCCCTTGAACCTGGGAGGCAGATGTTGCAGTGAGCTGAGATCATGCCACTGCACTCCAGCCTGGGTGACAGAGCAATGCTCTGTCTCAAAATAAAGCCTTGGATCATAGAAACCCAGTGTGGGGAGGGGCTCCTGATCTGGATGGATTAAGCAATACAATTTTTTTTTAACAGTATCTTTTTAATGGCCTTTTCTACTTTTTCCTGTCTAGGCTTCCTGTTAAGACCTCAGTTACCCCAGAACACCCTGGGTTATTTTTCTCCTCACCTCCAATACTTCAGTGTTGCCAGATAAAACGCAGAGTGCCCAGTTAAATTTGAATTTCAAATAAACAACAGGGAGTCCTGTATTTTTACTTGCTAAATCTGGCAAGTTCATGGGAGGGCTTATGTGTTCTATTTTTCTCTCTGGGCTTATCTGCAAATTTAGGATAATAACTCACCCTTTTCTTCCTGTTACTCATACACAATGACTATGCACCCTGCTAAAAGTCACTTGACTGAAGAGATGGTTCACTTCATGTTAGGGTAAGGGCAGGCTATCTAGAAATGGTCTTGATTGATCAGTGTTGAAGTTACCCAGGAAAAAAAAAAAACACCCATTCAGACATTGGCATTTAATATAATTTTTGTCAAATGAGTCCGTCATACGAAACGAGAGCATCATTTTGAGTAGCCAGATGTCAACATTGCTCTGATAGAGCTAGGTGATGGGGTAGAAGGGAATCCTAACAACAACAAAATAACTCAGCAGAACCTGTGCTGTACCATATTTACTCTTTATGGTGGTAATATATATATATATAACATAGAATTTACCATTGTAATAATTCTTAAGTGGCATTAAATATATTCACATTATTGTACAACCATTACTGATAACAATCTCCAGAACTTTTTTTCATCTTCCCAGACTGAAACTCTGTACCAGTAAGATGCTAACTCCCCATTTCTCCCTACTCCGCCCCAGGCAACCACCATTCTACTTTCTATCTTTGAATTTGACTACTGGGGGTACCTCATATAAGTGGAATCATGCACTATTTGTCTCTTTGTGACTGGTTTATTTCGGTTAGCATAATGCCTTTTTTTGTTTTTTGGGTTTTTTTTTAACTTTTATTTTAGGTTCAGGGGTACATATGAGGGTTTGTTATATAGATAAACTCATTTCACAGGGGTTTGTTGTACAGATTATTTCATCACCCAGGTATTAAACCTGGTACCCAATAGTTATCTTTTCTGCTCCTCTCCCTCCTTCTACCCTCAAGAAGACCCTGGTGTCTGCTGTTTGTTTCTTTGTGTTTATACATTCCCATCATTTAGCTCTCACTTATAAGTGAGAACATGCAGTATTTGGTTTTCTGTTTCTGTTAGTTTGCTAAGGATAATAGCCTCCAGCTCCATCTATGTTTCTGCAAAAGACATGATCTCATTCTTTTTTATGGCTGCATAGTATTCCATGGTGTATATATACCACATTTTCTTTATCTGGTCTGTCATTGATGGGTATTTAGGTTGATTCCGTGGCTTTGCTATTGTAAATAGTGCTGCAGTTGGTTAGCATAATGTCTAAAGTTCATCCACTTTATAGCCTGTATCAGAACTTCCCTCCTTTTATTTTTATTTATTTATTTTTTGAAACAGAGTCTCCCTCCATCAACCAGGCTAGAGTGCAGTGGCACGATCTTGGCTCACTGCAACTTTTGCCTCCCAGTTCAGGTGATTCACATGCCTCAGCCTCCTGAGTAGCTGGAATTACAGGTGCACGCCACCACGCCCGGCTAATTTTTGTATTGTTAGTAGAGAGGGGGTTTCACCACGTTGGCCAGGCTGGTCTCGAACTTCTGACCTCAAGTGATCCACTAGCCTCAGCCTCCCAAAGTGCTGGGATTACAGGTGTGAGCCACTGCACCTGGCCAGAATTTCACTCCTTTTAAAGGCTGAATAATATTCCATTGTATGTATACACTATATTCTGTTTATTCATCTTTTGATGGATACTTTGGTTGCATCTATCTTTTGGCTATTATGAAAAATGCTGATGTGAACATGAGTGTACAGATATGTTTGAGTCCCTGCTTTTAGTTCTTGTGGGTATATACCCAGAAGTGGTGTTGCTGGATTGTATGGTAATTTTATGTTTATGTTTATTTATTTATTTATTTATTTGAGGAACCACTGTTTTCCACAGTGGCTATAGCATTTTACATTCTCATCAGCAATGCATAAGGGCTCCAATTTTTCCACATCCTTGGCAACACTTGTTTTCTTTTTTTTTTTTTAAATAACAACCATCCTAGGCTGGGCATGGTGGCTCACGCCTGTAATCCCAGCACTTTGGGAGGCCGAGGCGGGCGGATCACCTAAGGTCAGGAGTTCAAGACCAGCCTGGCCAACATGGTAAAACTCCATCTCTACTGAAAATACAAAAATTAGCCAGGCATGGTGGCGCACACCTATAATCCCTGAGGCAGGAGGCTGAGGCAGGAGAATGGCTTGAACCGGGGAGGCTGAGGTTGCAGTGAGCTGAGCTCATGCCCCTGCACTCCAGCTTGAGTGACAGAGCAAAACTCCATCTCAAAATAATAATAGTAATATAACCATCCTAAGCAGTGTGAAGTGATATCTCATGATTTTGATTCATATTTCTCTAATGAAAAGATATCGAGCATTTTTTCATGTATTTCATACCTATCGGCCATTTGTATATCTTTGGAGAAATGCCTATTCAAGTCCTTTGCCCATTCTTGGATTGGGTTGTTTGTCGTTGAGTTGTAAGAGTTTTTTAATACATTTTGGACATTAATCCATCTCAGATGTATGATTTGCAAATATTTTCTCCTATTCCATGGATTGCCTTTCACTCTGTTAAAAGTGTCCTTTGATGCACGAAAGTTTTTAAATTTGAAATCTAATTTATCTAATTTTTCTTTTGTTACCTGTGCATTTTGTCTTACCCAAGAATCATTGCCAAATTAAGTGACATGAAGCTTTCCCTCTGTTTTCTTGTTTTTTATATATAATATATATTATACATATTATATAAAATTTATATATAATATATATTATACATATATAAAATTTATATATATTATATAATATATATTTTATATATTATATATACTACAGTATATATTTTATATATTATATATACTATAGTATATATAATATATACTATAGTATATATTATATATAGTATATATTATATATACTATAGTATATATTATACATTATATACACTATAGTATATATTATACATTATATATACTATATATATATATTTTATTAAATATATATAATATATTTTATTATAATATAATTTATTATATATAAAGTATATATTTATATTATATATGATATATATAATATATAAAATATATTTTTTATATATTATATATATTATACATATAGTTTTAGCTCTTATCTTTAGGTCTTTGATCCATTTTGAGTTAATTTTTGTATGTAATGTAAGATAAGGGTCTAACTTATTTCATTTGCTTGTGGATATCCAGTTTTTCCAACACCATTTGTTGAAAAGACTGACCTTTCCCCACTGAATGGTATTCACACCCTTGTCAAAACTCATCTGACCAGATATGTGAGGGTTTATTTCTGGGCTCTCTAGTCTCTTCCATTGGTCTTTATGTTTATCTTTATGCTGATAAAACACTGTTTTGATTACTGTAGCTTTGTAGTAAGTTTGGAAAATCAAGAATGTAAGTCCTCCAACTTTGGTTTTCTTTTTCAAGATTGTTTTGGTTGTTCAGGATCCCTTAAGATTCCATATGAATTTTAGGATGGATTTTACTATTTATGCAAAAAACATTGTTGGGATTTTGATAGGGATTGTATTGAATCTCTAGCTGACTTTGGGTAATACTGACACCTCTAATGATAGCAAGTTTTCCAATTCATGATCACCAGATGTTTTTTCATTTATTTATGTCTAATTTCTTCCAGCAATGTTTTGTATTTCTCAGTGTACAAGTCTTTCACTTCCGTGGTTAAGTTCATTCCTAAGTATTTTATTCTTTTTGATGTTACTGTAAATGGAATTGTTTTAATTTCCATTTCAGATTGTTCATTGTTAGTGTTTAGGCATACAGCTGATTGGATAAAGTTGCTCCAAAACAGATGAAGAAAATTACACCAAAGCAAAAGAAGCATCAGAGAGTGATGAGCGAGCTAGTAACCAGAGAAACTCTCGAGTCAGTGGTTGAGTAAGCAGTGGAGGAGGAGGGCTTAGATCTAGACAGAGTCCGAACGAGAAGCATGCAACAAGTGGAGACCTACCTCGAGGCTGCAGAGGTTGAGGCATGAGAGAGCCAAACTTCAATCGAGCGGGTTCTCAGGAAGCTCTCAGAGAGGATCACAGAGAATCAACAGGAAACAGAAGTCTCTAGAGAAACTCGACTTAAAATTAAGTCAGGCAGTATCACCAGTTGAGCCATAAATAACAGGTTCATCTTCGTAGAAACAAAGCTCGGTGCATTAAATCTTCTTTTGTTTCTACAAAGGCTCCCCAAGGGTTGGCTAACCTTAGAGATGCTATGTCTCTTGCACCTGCAGTCACTTATCCCGCTCTATCAAGCTTGCACTTGGCCAGCCCATCTGCCCCTCCTGCTGAAGGTGATGCATGGGATCCATGCTCGGACTGTTGTAAACCAAGTTCTGTGATACGTCAATTCCTGGTGTTGTCCTATTTGAATATCCTAAATTTCCCATAAGAGTTGTTATGAATGTAACATGTAAATTTACTATCACTGATGATTCCTCTGAAGAATTTCATGCAACCACCAGAAGGTGCAAGATCCTAGAGATCTACATATCTTAGGCATTTTCCAGGAGTACTCCTTCAACTGTCGCCCTGCACCTGATTAAGCTGGATATACTATAGTAAAACAATATGTAACAGATCCATGCACTACATGGTGTTATTGTGGAAATGGCCCTGACACATGGCCACTCACTTGACAGCTGTACAAAAGACAGTTATGTTTTTGCCTAGAGGACGCTAAGGTTAAAATTGTCTTTATTGCTCATCTTCCCCACTGATACTGAGCACACCTGGCATAGCTGAGATTAAACTATGAGTATGTATACTTGAATCTGGCATTTAATCCTCACAAAACGAATAGTGACTACACAGTCAAGCATCTTTAATGGGCAAGTACTTGAGCATCCAACCCATGTAAAGTTTGACGATCTGCACCTCTCCTGTCCTTCCCCTTAGAGAGTGAGTACAAGTTTCTAGATGACAGGTTCGGTGTAGACTGTTCAGATGCATCTGGCCAAGTTGTCATGATTTCTCATTGAGGGAAGAGAGATACGACACAGCAGTACATTGTGGATATGTTGAACCCATTAATTGATAGTGCAGCCATCACTGAGAAGCAACATTCAGTCTTTTCTTGCAGATCTTTACTGTACAACCCCTTACTGATATGACCCCATTTGTTGAGCTGTTGTGGATGAAAAGAACTTAATTGGGTTAGTAAACTGGAGAACTGTTTTGTTTTGGTGTTGCAAACCCATTTGGGTAGAATTTGTTCCATGGGTCAACAACTCTGTATCCCCTGGCCATGTATAAGAACATCACAATTATGTATTACCAGCCATATATCCGAATACTATATGCTACTTCTCCTGAAGTCGGCAGCAGATTGTATATCCTAATAAACACATCTGTGGGAAGCTATCTTAGGACAACAAGATCTTCATTATACCCCAAGAAGATCTCCAGACCTAGGGTGATTAAAACATTAACTGCAGACATTAAAGACATTGATATTATTAATGATATGCACACTCATGTCCACTTAACTGACCCTCTTGCATTGGCAGTGGGCCCATTAGTAGATGTAGAGGCTATTAAACATGAGATCATTGGGCATGCAGATTCAGTCTCCTCCTTTCACTCCTTTGGTGCAGGATTTATCACTTCTCTGTCCCTGTGGAACATTGTGAAAGATATGTATCTACATCTGTCACACTTAGACGGAACTTTGTTTCTCCTATCTTTTGTTGTAACTGCCATAGGAAAATTATACATGTACTACAGGACAGTAGAACAACTTTGCCTATATTCTCAGCTAATTAAATAAAAAAGCTGGTTTTTATGTGTTGATTTTGTACCCTGCATCATTGCTGACACTAAAAAATGCTTAGGGTATTTGCAACTAATCATTATTAGTTCTAATGTTTTTGTGGCATCTTTAGGGTGTTCTCCATACAAGATCGTGTAACCTTGGAACAGAGATAATTTTAGTTTTGGTTTTTTTTTTTTCCCAATTTGTATGCCTTTTATTTCTTTTTCTTACCTAATTACTCAGGTAGGAATTCCAGGACTGTTAAATAGAAATGGCAAAAGAATGCCAGGTTTGGTGGCTCATGCCTGTAATCTCAGCACTTTGGGAGGCTGAGGCAGGCAGATCACGTGAGATCAGGAGTTTGAGACCAGCCCGGCCAAAATGGCGAAACCCTGTCTCTATTAAAAATACAAAAATTAGTCAGGCATCTTGGCGCCTGCCTGTAATCCCAGCTACTTGGGTAGCTGAGGCAGGAGAATTGCTTGACCCCGGGAGGCAGAGGTTGCAGTGAGCCAAGATCATGCCACTGAGCTGAGATCATGCCACTGCACTCAAGCCTGGGAGACAGAGCAAGACTCTGTCTCAAAAAAAGAAAGAAAAAGAGGCCAGGCGCGGTGGCTCACGCCTGTGATCCCAGCTCTTTAGGAGGCCGAGGT
Organism: Homo sapiens; assembly: GCF_000001405.40. Classification (NCBI taxonomy): domain Eukaryota; kingdom Metazoa; phylum Chordata; class Mammalia; order Primates; family Hominidae; genus Homo; species Homo sapiens. The sequence continues at coordinate 35,498,630 of NC_000009.12, forward strand.
GGGTGGATCACGAGGTCAGGAGATCAAGACCATCCTGGCCAACATGGTGAAACCCCATGTCTACTAAAATTCAAAAAAAAAATTAGCCGGGTGTGGTGGTGCGTGCCTGTAGTCCCAGCTACTCAGGAGGCTAAGGCAGGGGAATCACTTGAACCCAGGAGGCAGAGGTTGCAGTGAGCCGAGATCGCCTGGCGACAGAGTGAGACTACATCTCAAAAAAAAAAAAACAAAAAAAGAAAAAAGAAATGGCAAAAGTGAACCATTTCTCTTAACACACAATCCTTATGGGATTGTTGATTTGGTATGCAAGTCCTTAATAGACACTGAAAACAACATTATTTTAGCCTGGTATATTATTAATGTTAACAGTAGTGAGGCCAGGCGTGGCGGCTTATGCCTGTAATCCCAGCACTTTGGGAGGCTGAGGCAGGCAGATCACTTGAGGCCAGGAGTTCAAGACCAGCCTGGGCAACATGGTAAAAGCCCAGCTCTACTAAAAATACAAAAATTAGCCAAGCGTGGTGGCATGCACATGTAATCCCAGCTACTTGGGAGGCTGAGGCACAGGAATTGCTTGAACCCAGGAGGCAGAGGCTGTAGTGAGTTGAGATTGTGTCACTGTGCTCCAGCCTGGGCGACAGAGTGAAACTCTCAAAAACAAAAACAAAAAACAAAATAGTAGTGAGTCATCAAGAAAAGTTAAATTATAGCCTACATAATACATTTTAAAAAGTTCTGCCAAAACACTTAAAGTTTTTAAAAAATTAATTTTGATACTTTAGGAAGAAACCCTCTGTTCCTTGGAATTGTTGGTTTAATAAAAGTCTTTTATCTTCAAGAAAATGAGATGGTAAACTCTGAGGTATGTGTTGTATTTTTGGCTTCTTGTGTGAGTTCCTGCAGACAAGGACAATAGACTGATAACTGGGTGGAAAGAAAAATAGGGCCAGCCAACTTCTGGCTAAAGTTTAATTATCTTAGGATCAAAAGTCTATACTTAACTTGTTTATCTTAGGATCCAAAAAAATCTGTATTTAATTTATCTGTTTTTATACTTTGTGCTTCCTTTCTTTTCCTGTATAATTCTTTTTAAAAAAAGAAAATGCACCCTTGTATTTAGTGTACTTAGGGAAAATGGACATTTATTTTTATCCACGCCCAGGCAAAAGAAAAAGAGCAAAGTTCTCCTAAAGGCAGCATAGATAGGATTTAGATGAACCCAAGGTAAAAAGCAAAAACTGCAGGGGAGAAAGTTGGGAACCTACTACTAGTCCCGTTCATCCTCAAGTTGTTTCTCTTCCAAAATGTTCTTTACTTGTTTTTTGAAAGTTGTTTATTTCTGTTTAAAGATACAGTCAAACTTTGTTAAAGTTGGCTGTATTCTATTTATTTAAAGTTATAGCCAAACAGAACAGCTTATTTTTCTAGAGTTCCGGATAGCTAGAGTTTTTCTATAAGACTAATGATTTCCTTTTAAACATCTCCCAAAGCCTAGTGATTCAGACGTTTCTGCCTTACTGTATTAGTCTGTTTTTATGCTGCTGATAAAGACATACCCAAGACTGGGCAATTTACAAAAGAAAGAGGTTTAAAGGACTTAAAGGCAAGGAGGAGCAAGTCACATCTTACATAGATGACAGGCAAAGAGAGAGAGAGAGCTTGTGCAGGGAAACCCCCTTATAAAACCATCAGATCTTGTGAGACTTATTTGCAACCACAAGAACAGCACAGGAAAGACCTGCCCCCATGATTCAATTACCTCCCACCAGGTCCCTCTCACAACACATGGGAATTCAAGATGAGATTTGGGTGGGAACATAGCCAGACCATATCACTTACTTATCTATTACTGTATAACAAAACACCCCAAAACTTAGTGACTTAAAACAACAATTGATTTTATTTCACAATTTTGTGGATGGGCTGGTGGTTTTTTGTACTTCTGAAAAGAGTTCTAAGAATGCTTTTACTAGGAGCACTACTGGAATGAGTTAAATTTCTCAAGGTGGCTACTTTGTTTTTTAGAGTTTTAAAAATTCTTTCCTCTTGCCAATTATTCCCTCATAACCAATGTGACCACTTTGAAGGACATATCTTATTTGGTCATACAAGAGCTATTCTTTAAAATATTGCTCTCTTTAGTTTTATATTTATAGCTATAGTTAACTTCTTAGATAGCATAGTGTCTCTTTCAGTTTATATAATGTTCTTTGCCTGATATCCAACACAGCAACCTGCAACTGTATTAGTTTATTCATCCTTAATGATAGTGGCTGGAGAAAGGAGGGCTGGAAGCAGGATCACCTGCCTCATTATACATTTGTGAGTCCTTTCTAACAACCAAGTGGTGGTGATGAATAGCTAACAAGGAGCATTTATCTTATGAGGAAAAAAAGACAGCTGTGGCTTTTTATTGGCCTGTGAGAATCTATAGTAGAGAATAAAGAATTTCAAACTTTTTTTAAAACAGACTTTTGTTCAAATATATTCTACAGGAAAGGGACTCAGAAAGATAAAAGTTGGGCTGTTTTGGTTGAATGCATGGAGTTGGGAGAAGTAGTCTAACCTGTTCAGGTTTCCCTCTTTTCATCTACATCCCCTTCACTTCCTTTTCAAAGTCCCCTGAAGGAGCTCTGTAAAGAATAGTTCAGAAGTCACTGATACAGGCCGGGTGCAGTGGCTCACACCTGGAATCCCAGCACTTTGGGAGGCCAAGTAAGGTGAATTGCCTGAGCTCAGGAGTTTGAAACCAGCCTTGGCAACATGGGAAAACCCTGTCTCTACCAAAAATAAAAAAATTAGCCAGGCATGGTGGGGGGCACCTATAGTTCCAGCTGCTCCCGAGGCTGAGGCACAAGAATTGCTTGAGCCTGGGAGGCAGAGGTTGCAGTGAGCCAAGATCGTGCCACTGAACTCCTGCCTGGGTGACAGAGTGAGGCTCCATCTCAAAAGAAATGTCACTGATACAGATATTTCTTCTACTGAGTTATGACTCCAAGGTAGAAAGAGATAAAGATAAATGGTTGGGTTTGGGATATATATAGTCTTCAACTGACCATGCACCAGTAGCAGCCAACCATGGTTCGAGAGACATGTAACCAAAATATGTGCTGCATACATACAGTCTCCAAATTCCTATGTGAAATCCTTAGCCTTAATTAATTTAATGAGTTTCATGGAACCAGAAATGAATTATAGATCCTTTTTTCCTCCTTTAGTTTAGGACCTATGCTAGTTTTTTTAATCCACTCTAGTCCTGAGTCAAGATATTTTTTCTAGCCATGCTTTCTAGTTTATAATATGAAAACAATAGTTGTTTTTAGAATATTTAATAATGTTTATACTTCTAAAAAATATACACTGAACATTGAGGGCTCTGCACCTCTTTCCCTTTGAGTACTGTTGGTCTCTTTGTCCAATACTTCTACACATGTGCTTCTCAAACTTGATGGAAAAAAAAATCACCCGGATCACCCCTGAAATTCTGATTCAGTACATCTGGCATGGGGCCCAAGTATTTATCTGTGCTTAATAAGTTCACACATGAAGCTGATTCTGCTGATCTGCAGACCACACTTTGAGTAGCATGACTCTTAGATCTAAACTCTGTTCTCAGCCTCTTACTTAGTGGTTCTCAAAATGTAAAGGCTTTCCCCAAACCCCACCCCCTAAGAAAAAGCCCTGGTGCACCAGACCCAAAAATTGAAAGTCAAATAGTGCCACTGTCTAAGAGTGTGGGATATATCACCATGGGTTTTCTTCCTCTAGAGATTAGGTTTATAAATCTCTCACTCCCTCAAGATTAAGGGATTGTGAAGAAGAGTTCTAAGGAAATACTTTTAGCTGTCCAGACTTTAACCTCGAAAATCCTTAAACTGAAGTTCCTTTTTATGGAGAAAGATTAAAAGTGTACATTTTCCCTTGAAAGTTAAAAAATTTTTTTTGTTTAAAAACATTTTCTGAAAAAAATTCTTTTTCTGAATATAGATGAAATATATGCTCACTGTAGAGAATCTACAAAAGACAAGTATAAAATGAAAAGATATCATTGAACAGTTCTTAGAGGCCAAAATTTTAGCAGTTGTATAAGAAATCTATGTTTGAATGAGCCATAACTTGCTTACCCCAAATGGACATTTGTGGTTTTATAGTACTTTTAAAAATTTTTCAATAGTTTTTGGGACACAGGTGGTTTTTTTGGTAACTTAGATAAGTTTTTTTGTTTTTGTTTTTTGTTTTTGTTTTTTTGAGACGGAGTTTTGCTCTTGCTGCCCAGTCTGAAGTGCAGTGGTGCACTCTCATTTCACTGCAACCTCTGCCTCCCAGGTTCAAGCGATTCTCCTGCCTTAGCCTCCTGAGTAGCTGGGATTACAGGCATGCAACACCATGGCCAACTAATGTTTTGTATTTTTAGTAGAGATAGGGTTTCATCATGTTGGCCAGGCTGGTCTCGAACTCCTGTCCTCAGGTAATACACCCGCCTTAGCTTCCCAAAGTGCAGGGATTACAGGCGTGAGCCACCGCACCCAGCCAGATAAGTTCTTTAGTGGTGACTTCTGAGATTTTGGTGCACCCATCACCTGAGCAGTGTACACTATGCCCAAATATTGTCTTTTATCCCTCACCACCACCCCCGCCGTTACTCCTCTAGTCCCCAAAGTCTATTATATCATTCTTACGCCTTTGAATCTTCATAGTTTAGCTCCTACTATGAGTGAGAACATAAGATATTTGGTTTTCCATTCCCGAGTTACTTCACTTAGAATAGTGGCCTCCAGCTCCATCCAAGTTGCTAAAAAAGCCGTTATTTTATTCCATTTTATGGCTGAGTAGTATTGCGTGGTGTATATATACCACATTTTCTTTATCCACTTGGTTGATGGGCATGTAGGTTGGTTCCATATTTTTGCAATTGCCAATCGTGCTGCTATAAACGTGTGTACATGTGTCTTTTTCATATAGTGACTTCTTTTCCTTTGGGTAGATACCCAGTAGTGGGATTGCTGGGTCAAATGGTAGTTGTACTTTCAGTTCTTTAAGGAATCGCCATACTGTTTTCCATAGTGGTTGTACCAGTTTACATTCCCAATAGCAGTGTATAAGTGTTCCCTTTTCACCACATCCACAGCAACAACATCTATTATTATTTTTTTTTTCTTTTTTGAGACAGAGTTTCACTCTGTCATCCAGGCTGGAGTGTAGTGGCATGATGTTGGCTCACTGCAACCTCCACCTCCCAGGTTCAAGCAATTCTCCTGACTCAGCCACCTGAGTAGCTGGGATTATAGGTGCATGCCACTATGCCCAGCTAATTTTTGTGTTTTTAGTAGAGACAGGGTTTTACCATGTCGCCCAGGGTGGTCTCAAACTCCTGGCCTCAAGTGATCTGCCCGCCTCGGCCTGCCAAAGTGTTAGGTTTACAGGCGTGAGCCACCGCTCCTGGCCATTTTAATACTTTTTAATTATTAACTTTATGCAAAAATCTTTGTCCACATCTCTGATAATTTCCTTAGCATAGAATTCTAGAGGTGGAGTTACTGAGTTAAATGATTTGAATAGTTTTAAGACTTGAGATATATATTTTTCCGAGCTCATTATTAAGATTGTACCAAAATATACATACACTGGCAATGAATGAAAATGCCTGTTGTACTTGCCTTCACCAGAATTAACTATTATTATTTTGTCTGATAATTGGTAGCCAAAAGGTGGTAATTTATTGTTTTAAAGTTCAAACTTTTTGTATGTTCATTAAGTATATTTTGTTTCCTCTTCTCTGAAATGTTTGTTCATATCCTGGCAATTTTCTATTAAGATCTTAGTTTTTTGGGTTTTTTTTCTTTTTTTTTTTTTGAGACGGAGTTTCGCTCTTGTTGCCCAGGCTGGAGTGCAATGGCACAATCTCGGCTCACCGCAATCTCTGCCTCCCAGGTTCAAGCGATTCTCCTGCCTCAGCCTCCCAAGTAGCTGGTATTACAGGTGTGCGCCACCACGCCCAGCTAATTTTGTATTTTTAGTAGAGACAGGGTTTCACCACGTTGGCCAGACTGGTTTTAAATCCCTGACCTCAAGTGATCCACCTGCCTCATTCTCCTGAAGTGCTGGAATTATAGGCATGAGCCACCATACCCAGCCAAGATCTTAGTTTTAAGTGAAATAAGAAAGTCACAGGACAAATATGGCATGATTCCACTTGTATTAGTTATCAAAAATAGTTAAAATCATAGAAGCAAAAATAGAAGGAATGGTGGTGGCCAAGGCCTGGGGTGGGGTTTGGGGGCGAATGGGGATTTGCTCCTTCATGGGTATAAAGTTTCAGTTATACAAGCTGAATAAGTTCTAGAGATCTGCTGTACAATGCTATGCTTATAGTTAGTTAACAATATGTGCTGTACACTTAAACAGTTGTTATGAAGTTAGATCTTATGTGTTTTCACCACAATTTTTTTTAAATCTTAGTCTTTAGTTATTCACACAAGTTCTTTACACATTAAAGATATATGCCTATATGCCTTTTGTTATAACAAATATTTGCTTGCCTTTTAATTTTGTTTGTGATTTTTGACATACAGAATTTCATAATATCTATATGGTTAAGTCTTTAGTTTTCTTTTGTAATTTCATTACTCCTTTCAGCAAATGCACTGGGAGTCTATGTCTTGAGTCTGGGACTGTGGAGCTCAGATCTTTCTGAGGAACTCTTTGTATGCACATGGTTTTCTCTAACTGAGATCCCTTCCTTAGTCCCCGACCCCACCACATATTTCTACTCCTCCTCTAACAGTTCAGTCATTTGACCCTCCTGAAACTTTTCTTGATTACCTCATGCAAACTTGGGTATGATTTCCACTATGCCTTCATTTGACCTTGTCTGGAGCTCCATTATAACAATTAACAAATTATTTTATATAACCATAAACTCCATGAGGACAAGAATAGAGTCTTTGAATCCAGGGTCTCTCAGAGATCTAGAGAGAAATTGACCTCTTTCATTTAATATATGAAATTCTTCATATATTGAAAATGATTGAAATCCAAACCACTATTATAATAATTTTAGTATATTTTAAATATTTGCCTTAACAAATTAATTTTAATACTGTAATGATTGTACTTAGGACAGAAACAACATAATCATCTCAGTGGATGCAGAAAACACATTTGACAAGTTTATGATAAAAACACTCAACTAGGAATAGCATCTAACTTCCTCAACCTGACAAAGGGCATCTACAAAAAACCCACAGCTAACATCATTCTTAAGGTGAAAGATTGAAAACTTTCTCTCTAAGATCAGGAATAAAAGGAGGATGTTCATTCTCAACACTTCTATTCAATATTGTTCTGGAAATTCTAGTCATAACAATTAGGCAAGAAAAATAAAAGGTATCCAGATTGGAAAGGAAGAAATATAACTATTGCTATATGCAGATGATATGGTCTTGTATATAGAAATCTTAAGGAATCCATAAAAACTATCATAACTAATAAACTAGTTCAGTAAGATTGTGGGATACAAAATCAATGGGGACGGGCTTGCTTTTAGGAGTGATGAAAATATTTCAAAGTTAGATTGTGGTCAGAGTTGCATAACTGTGAACACACTAAAAACCACTGAATTGTATACATTAAAAAGGTGAATTTTATACTATCTGAATTACATGTTAATAAAGCTGTTAATTTAAAAATATACTTATAACTTTGAATGTAAGGATGAAGAGCTAAATTTGAAGTCCTTTGTAAGTATCAGGCTTGAGCCTAAGATCTTCCTGTCCCCCTTCCCCACAATTCGTGATAGGCTTTATTTTCCACTATGCATTTCTGGTGCCTAACACAACGCCTGACAAATGGTATAAGCTCAGTAAATATTGGTAGAATGAATAGAGAATGAATGAATGAATTACAGGGTTTGAACTGACATTAAGCCTAGCTCAGCAAATCTGTTACATTTCTTAGGTTGCTTTGCTTTCACAAAAGATCTGATTAATTTAGTAACATTCACAGAGATTATAGCCTGGCACCCAGGATGAGTATGATTTTAGCCCTATGAACAAGTTTTAAAGAAGTACAGAAGACAGAGTGGTCAGTGCTGACTGGTTGACTAGATAAAGCTCATACAAAAAAATCTGTGATCCAAGCTGAACATGATCTAAAGCATCTAAGTAGGAATTTTAAAAATCAAAATAAATATATAAAAATGGGCCAGGCATGGTGGCTCACACCTGTAATCAATGCTAGAACTTTGGGAGCCCAAGGCAGGAGGATCATTTAAGCTTAGGGTTTCGAGACTAGCCTGAGCAACATAGTGAAACCTCGTCTCTACAAAAAAAATTTAAAAATTATCTGGGTGTGGTGGTGCACACCTGTAGTCCCAGCTACTTGGGAGGCGAGGTGGGAGGATCATTTGAGCCTAGGAGGGTGAGGCTGCAGTGAGCTGTGATTATACCACTGCACTCTGGCCTGGGCAACAGAGGGAGACCCTATCTCAAGAAAAAAATAAAAATAAGAATAATCACAAAATAAATTTAAATCACCTATAATCCCACTTTCCTATGCTTTCTGTTTACATGCATATATAAATTTTGCATGGATGTAATTGTAGCATTAAGATTATTTTATATTCTGCTTTAATTTAGTTCCTAAGCATTTATCCATGTTGCCACATAGATTTTATGATTTATAGCTTAGTGAATTCCATTCACTTGTTGAAGCATCCTCACTAGTAGTCCTTTAACTTCAATAAAACTTCACTGATACTACATTCTTTTAAAAGTATACTTGCCTGATAAAACCCCAACCCTGAATGAATATAACCCCTTACCTTCTCCATGTCTGTACTCAAATAGCTCAGCTTTGCTGGAGAAAGTTGTACAGGCCAGCATATTTAGCATCACTCTAAATTCATCATTACCAGCTGACAGCACTCCAGCGAACATGGTGAATGTTCCCCAAACCCACCAGACTTTCTGTAAGAAGTATCACAAGCACCAACTCCACAAAGTGACATAGTCCAAGAAGGGCAAGGATTCTCTGTGTGTCTAGGGAAAGCAGCATTATGACAGGAAGCACAGTGGCTATGGTGGGCAGAGTAAGCCGATTTTCCAGAAAAAAGCTAAAACTACAGAGAAGATTGTGCTAAGGCTTGAGTGTGTTGAGCTCAATTTCAGATCTGAGAAAATGTGGCTATTAAGAGATGCAAGCACTTTGAACTGGGAGGAGATAAGTGAAAAGGCCAAGTGATCCAGTTTTAAGTGTCATCTTTTGTTTTGTTATGAAGACAATAAAATCTTGAGTTTATGTTCCAAAAAATTTAAAAATAAATTCATCATTACCGAAGTTAATATTGGCAGCAGTCTTACTATATTTCTCTAACAAGTATCCTACTCTACTCTTTGCAACAAATGTTTCATCCCTTCATTACTCTCTTCTACCTCTCACCCTCCCTGTTTCCTTCCCTATGCTGTTGGTAGTCTTGACTCATACCTCAGAAGGAAAAAGGAAGCCATCATATGTGAGCTCTCTTACTTCCTACCACCAATCTGCAAACGTGTCTACAGCCATCCTCTCCTCTCTAGTTGGAGGAAATATTCCACCTCCTAACAAAAGCTAAGTAATCCCTCCCTGGCGCTCTGGATTGCATACCCTCCTACTTGATCACAATTGGTTGCTTACTCAGCAATGACTTCTCTATTCCTCCTTTGAAGCGTAACAGTTTGTTTAGATATCCACCTTCCTCCACACATGCCTGTGAATGTGAACATATCTCAGTGTAATGTTTGAGATGACTACTGGAGCCATGCTCTGACCTAAGGATGGCAGATTTAAATGACATGTTGAACCTCTGAATTCACTAACCTGGCAGTCACTGTGCCTCTGGTCTTCTTGATATGTGTGACAATGAATTTCCTCTGTTGTTTAAGCCACTCTGAGATTGTCGTCATCCATATGCAGAGAATATCATACCAAAATGGTATACTCTTTAAGCTATCCCAAATAAACCTATATTCCAAGTACAAACACTGTCATTGCTATACAAATGGAACTTTATGACAATTCCCTGATGCTACTCCATTCCCACCTATCCCTTTTAATCTGTTTGCTGCTCCTAAAATCAACCTATAGCGAAATTCTGGAGCCACTACAGCTTCTCAGGTATGTTATTCCATCATTTAACCTCTTTTCTTAATCTTTCACATCAGTGGGGACAAAAACAAAAGGAAAAGACAGAAAGAATACAAGTACATTTCCCAGAACTGAAGAATATGAGTCTACAAATTGAAAGAGTCCACTCAGCACCCAGCATAACAAATAGCACCAACATAACTTATCCCAGGGTCCTTCATCTTGAAAATTTGGAAAACCAAGGATATAGAGAAATTCCTAAATTAGTCTTTAAAAAAAAAAGTTAGAAAAATATCAGGAATCAGAATCAGAATGAGGCTGGGCACAGTGGCTCTCACCTATAATCTCAGCACTTTGGGAGGCTAAGGCCGGATCACTTGAAGCTAAGAGTTCAAGACCCTCGTCTCTTCAAAAAAAAATTAAAAATTAGCCAAGTGTGATGGTGCATACCTGTAGTCCCAGCTACTCAGGATGCTGAGGCAGGAGGATCACTTGAGCCCCGGAGGCACACCACCTTGTCCAGAGAAACTTTTCTAAAGCAGAAGCTGTGGAACTTAGGGAGGGTCACATGGTGTACATGTCTGGAAATAATTAGATCTTTTAAGGAGAATCTTGTCAGCCCATGAGTTTACATGGAAGACTTGCTTCTACTGTGTTCTGGTGACAGTGAGCAATTCAAGTAGACCTGTACCTACCCGTGTTCATTGGGCAGGAAATTCTTGATTTACAGTTAACATAAATTCACTCTAACCTCCTTTCTATATATTTTCCCGAGATGTTGCCTAGGTTAGAGCTGCTTTACTTTACAACTTACAGGGGGACAAAGAACAAAGCCGTGAAGAAAAGTTAAAGAATTTGAGGTAGTATTCCTATTGAAAAGAAAACACTGGCTATGACCATGACATGGTTCCCTGTTGTAAACTGGTAAATTGAACGGTAGTACAGTCTCAAAAAGGCAATAGGAGGGATTCAGGTTAAAGAAAAGAGGAGATTCCTGATTCACATTTATTATAGTTGTCATTTATTGAGCCCTGCCTAAATACCAGTCCCTGTCCTAGATGTCTTATATATCTTCTCTGTAACTCCTACCACCACCCTGTAGGAAGGTATTATCCCCATTTTAAAATGAAACAGAGGCTGAGGGGAATCAAATAACTTGCCAGCTGCTACAGAATTAGTCCTGAAGAGCAGAGTTCTATACCTACCTTTTCTTAGCTCTTTACATTGACCAGAAAGAAACAAAAATGAATGGCCTGATGCTGAAAAGAGCAAATCAGGGTTCTATTTCTCCAGTGTAATGGACAGTAGTTTGTTAATTGAAGTGAGTTCCTATGCCTTAAATAAAAATATGTAATATAAAAATAGGTACTGAATTCCCACAAAATGAATGGGAATAAAAGTGGAGCTTAACCAAGAGTATGTTATTGATAGATTCCGGTGACTTTTCAAGAGTTTTCAATTCAGGCATAAGTAATTGGCTGGGCATATGGTGGCTCACACCTGTAATTCCAGAACTTTGGGAGGCCGAGGTGGGAGGATTGCTTGAGCCCGGGAGTTCAAGACCAGCTTTGCCAACATAGTGAGACCCCGTCTCTACAATAAAAATTTTTAAAGAGAAAACAGATAATTTTAATTGCCAATACAGTGTAAACTGGACCCTGATTAATAAATATGCTAATTGGCCTCCCTGGATGGAGCTGGCTTTCATGATTTAACTATCTTTCCTTTGAATGCAGCACATTCCAAAGGCCTACTTAATCGAGTATACAGTCATAGTTATTTATTTGTTTAGTCTCCCTGGGTGAACTATAAACTCCATGAAGGCAGGCATCAGGTTTTTTTCTTTCACACACTACAGTGTCTGGCACTTTGGAGGTACTCAGTTAAGATTTATTGAGTAATTCCTTTAGTCCTTGGGTGAGACTTTGGCATTTAAGGTTCTCAGGGCCGCAGATTCCTTCAAACGTTTGCCCAAAGCAGAGAAGGAAACTCTTCTAGAGCACTGTTGTGTATTACTGGGTTGGGCTGTTAGATTTCCCAGGTCCTGCCTCCTTTGGGTGGGCCCCTAGGGCTTGATGCCAGATGGGCTGTGTTTTTGGCAAAGGGCTTGTTCTTATTCTGAGATTTTGACTATAAATGGACTATGCTATTTGCTGTCCCCACTGAACCCAGTGGGGAAGCAGCCGACAATGGGAGCACAGAGTTACTACTTTTTCTGCTGGAACCTCCCAACATCTACCCAGAGATAGCTCCAGTATAGGTTGGCCAAGCAGGAAATTCCAAACACTTTTCCTGAAACTCCAAACAGCTTGAGGAGTCTCTTCAGATGGAGTTGGAAAAGCTCCCAGCGAGCAGAGCTGGGTCTTATGTAACTTTATAGACTGCCCTTTTTAGTGTAACTTTATAGCACTGCCCTCAGCTAGTGCTGGACTTTTGAAACATATCCTGCATTCTTTCCTAGCTACTCAGCAGTCCCTATTGGAAGCAGCTAATAGGACAGAGTTGAAGACTGTGAGGTTAAAGGGGGAGAAAAGGAGGGCAGGATGTCTGTCATTCTGTCTGGAACCTGCTGTTCTTGGTCCCCTGCTGTGGCTCCCACTGGCAGTAGAGGGAGCGCATTGCCAGATATGAAGGAAACTCATACTTGAGTATGAGTATGGTATGAAGAGAGGAGCTGTCGCAAGGATACTCCCCCTGCATATTCCAGAAGCCCATCACTGGATTCCCTAGATCCATTTCAGTACCCCACATCCCAAAAAGGAGGACTAGAACTAAGTATGTGTAAATATGTCCACATCTGTAATGAGCCAAATTCTGCTCTGAAGAAATGTTTCCAGTTTATTTGGTGAAGATTTCAGTTCCTCGAACTTAGTTCAACTCAGTAAACATTTTAATCATCTACCCCATGCCAGACTTTAGGCTAGGTTCAGTGACTACAAAGATGAAGATAGCCTCTGTCCTTAGCATGCAATCAAGAAGGAAATAGAAAGTGTATATAAATGGTTATAATATACTTTCTTGCTTTATAATCCTTAGTGCTTTTTGTAATTCTTCTATTTTTAACTCTCCTAAAAGATATATATCAGGTTTATGTTATCTACCTGTAAACTAATGTGCTAATTCAAGATAAAAATATAGGAAAATCTCGGCCGGGCGCGGTGGCTCACGCCTGTAATCTTAGCACTTTGGGAGGCCGAGGCAGGCGGATCATGAGGTCAGGAGATTGAGACCATCCTGGCTAACAAGGTGAAACCCCGTCTCTACTAAAAAATACAAAAGATTAGCTGGGCGTGGTGGCTGGCGCCTGTAGTCCCAGCTACTCGGGAGGATGAGGCAGGAGAATGGCATGAACCCGGGAGGCGGAGGTTGCAGTGAGCCAAGATCGCGCCACTGCACTCCAGCCTGGGCGACAGAACGAGACTTCCATCTCAAAAAAAGAAAAAAAAAATAGGAAAATCTCTTCAGGTATAACTCTTCTTTTACAAGTTTCTCATGAAAGGGGCAAGCACAAGTTTCAAGAATATTTTCATCTAATTTTTTGTTTTTATTTTCATAATTTTCTCAAGCTAATATAAGGCATTTTAGAACTTTGAATATAATTTGAATCTTTTAAAACAACATTTAGCTTTCTCAATGAATTATAATTTGCCCTATGCATGCCTGTAGCTTTTATTTCTTCTCTGAATTAAGGTATTAGGCATTTAGTGGGCACTCATTAGATACCTGTTCTCCCAGTACAGGTAGCTGTTCTCTTTGAGGCTGTAAGTGGGTAGTCCCTCATGTCTCCTGTGCTGATGTTTCATGAGGTCCAGGCTTTCAGGCCTGTGAGGATCCCAGATGGCCCAAAAGAGTCCCATCATCCCACTTATTGCCAGAAAATACAGATGATCAAAAAGAAGATGTGTATGCATTTTTTTTAAATAAAAATGGGATCATACCATGAGTTATACTTTGTTTTCTGTTTTGTTTTGTTTTTCCTTCCTCCTCCCGTCCCTCTTTTATACATCAAGCAAAAGAGCACAGTTACTGTGGTACCAAACACACCTGGGTATGAAACTCAGCTCAGCCACTCCCCAATTATAAAAACATGGACAATTTTTGTAAAACCTCTGGGCCCCTGGGAAATAATAACATTAAGTTTAACCTTATGAAATGGGCATTTTTGCAGGTTAAAAAAAATGCATATTGACCATTTCACATCACCCTAACAGTTCCCTCCTTGTATAGTTTTGTCAGCATTAAATGAGATGATGCACATGCAGTTATAATGTCTGGCAGTGAGGTACTCACTAATGACTATAAATATTAATTGCTACTACTACTAGGATGACGATGATGATGACTGCTAAGAAGCAGAAGCACAAATCAAAGGGAACTGAAAGAGCAGCCATTCTTAGGTTTTCAACCATGGATTTTGGACTTGAGAATTATACTTTGTTTTGTTGTTGTTGTTGTTGTTGTTGTTGTTGTTGTTGTTGTTGCTTGAGACAGAGTCTCACTTGTAAAAGAAGAGTTATACCTGAAGAGATTTTCCAGGCTGGAGTACAATGGTACGATCTCGGCTCACTGCAACCTCCGCCTCCTGGGTTCAAGTGATTCTCATGCCTCAGCCTCCCGAGCAGCTGGGATTACAGACACGTGCCACCATGCCAAGCTAATTTTCATATTTTTAGTAGAGATGGGGTTTCGCCATGTTGGCCAGACTGGTCTTGAACTCCTGACCTCAAGTGATCCACCTGCCTCAGCCTCTCCAAGTGCTAGGATTACAGGCATGAGCCACTGCACCCAACCTGAGAGTTGTACTTTGTAAATTGCTTATTTAAAAGAAAAAAAAACTGTATCATGAGCATAGTTTCATCTTGACAACAATTCTGACACATCTTTTTGTGTTTTGTAGAATACTTCATTGCATGGATTGCATCATGATTTATTTAACCAATTCATTACTGAGGGGATTTTAAAAATATTTTTAAATTTTGGCCAGGTGCAGTGGCTCATGCCTGTAATCCCAGCAATTTGAGAGGCCAAGGCAGGAGGATCACTTGAGCCCAGGAGTTTGAGACCAGTGTGGGCAACATAGCAAGACCCTGTCTCTATAAAAAATTGTTTTAAATAGTATTTTTTTGCTTTTGTAAATAGTGCTTCAACAAACATATATATATATATATATATATATATATATATATATTACTTTATGTGTCTTTATAATGTTATTTCTTTTAAATACGTTTTTATAGAAATAGACTAGAGAGTATGCTTATTTCAAATTTTGCTACATACTGCTTGGCTGCTCTCTTGAAAATTTCATTAATTCATTTGAAAATATTAATCTATGCATCCCAGACACTGCTAGGTTCTGAGTATACACCAACAAATAATGGTAGACAGGGTTCCTGCCCCATGAAACTTGCTGTCTAGTGTTAGAAGCCAAATAAACAAGTATAAAACACAATATAGAGAAGTGCAAGGTGCTTTGAGAAAATACAACCAGTAGCCTGGGAAGGGCCATTGGATTTGGAATATTTTAGCTAAAAACCTAAAGGATGATTAGGAGTTAGACAAATGGAGGGGCAGTGTTCCAATCAGTACCGAGCTGATCCGAGTTGATAGTATGACTACAGGGCAAAAGATGAGAGTGAAGAGGTGATTTATCAAGGCTAGCATATACCTTTAGGGAATTTGGATTTTATGGAAAGCCTTCGAAGGGTTTTTAAGCATGAAAGTGATATAAATAGACTTCATTTGATGTCTATTAAGATGATTCTAGGAAGGGAAACCAGGTTAGAGGTTGATGTAGGAACTTAGATAAGTGATAAATATAGGTTGCTCTTTAGTAGCAGTAGGGATGGAGAATGTGGTAGGATGTATAAAGTAGCAATAGATATGAGTAACAGAAACCCAACACTGGTGACTTAAATAAGATGGAGGTTTTTTTCTCTCATCAGCAACGGAAGTACAGAGATAGATGGTCCTGGGCTAGTATGGCAGCTCCACAGTCATTAGAGACCCACACCCTTTCCAGTTTTTTGCTCGGCTATCTCTAGGCCATCCTTATGGCACAAGATGACCTACTATAGTTCTAGTCATCACAGCTACCTTCCTAGCAGCAGGATGGAGGAAGAGATGAAGAAGGTTGCACCCTGTTCATCATAAAGAGACTACCCAGAAGTTGCACACAACAATTCCACCATAACTCGGTCAAATGGCCACCCCTACTTGCAGGGGAGGGAGAAATGTGGAATTTTACTTGGGTAGCATTGTACCTAGCCGAATATCAGGGTTCTGTTAATTTGAAAGATAAAGGGAGAATAAATATTTGATTGGCAACTAATAATCTGGGACCTGGAAAAGTGGGGAACTAATTTAATTCAGCTAAATTGTTTACAAAATAACAGCTCACACAAAGATACACATATACCACTGTTGAAAAGAGACTTATTTGGCTACGAGGCAAAGATTTAACATTAAAAATCCCGTTTTCTTGTAAAGAGTAAACAAGTGTTAGCTCATGTATGTCTCCAGCTTTGGTAGGAATACAGCTGTATGCATTTGACCTGAATCACTACCATGTAAAAGTGTCATACTTGTGATTTTTAGTACCTTGTCATTCATTAATATTCAGAGTATAGAAAAAGGCAGACCAACAGATTGCTGCTATTTTTTTTTTCAAGCCCACAGCTAACATCATCGATTGCTGCTATTTGAAACAAAGTCAAACAAGACCCAAATTAAGGGATTTGCTTATTGTTTTTCTCTATCAAGGATATTAGCTGTATATTATAGTAGAAAGAGCAAGGGCTTTAGATTGAGTCAGACAAAAATTGCAAGCCCAACTTCTCTACTTTCTGGGTCTGTGATCTTAGATAAAGTTTATCTCTGCAAGATCCTCAGTTTCCTCAACTGTAAAATAGAGATAATAATATCTACTTTGCACGGTTATCATGAGGATTAGAAATGCACTTATGGGCCAGACACAGTGGTTCACACCTATAATTCCGACACTTTGGGAGGCTGAGGTGGGAGGATCACTTGAGGCCAGGAAGTTGGGAACAGCCTGGCCAACATGGGGAAACTCCATCTCTACTAAAAATTCAAAAATTAGCTGGGCATGGTGGCGCGCACCTCTAATCTCAGCTACTTGGGTAGCTGAGGCACAAGAATCACTTGAACCTGGGAGGCAGAGGTTGTAGTGAGCCGAGATTGCGCCACCACATTCCAGCCTGAGCGACACAGCGAGATTCTTGTCTCAAAAAAAAAAAAAAAAAAAAAAAAGAGAAATGCGCTTATGACAAACATCTAGCATGGTGAGTAACATAGTAGATAATAAATAATTGCTAATAATATTAGAAGAATTACTCTTTAGCAATAAGTCATTTGTTTCCTCTAGCTTCTGGTGTGTGGGGAGGTATAACTACAAAGATTCCTAACCATTTCTATATCATTCTTAGGATGCTTCTATAGCAGTTTGCCACCTGTTTACAGAACCTGTAACTATTTGTGATGGTGCCCAGATTAAAGTCAGCCCTAAATTTTTGCTCACCCCTACCCCCATGCCTCTCATCCATATTTACTGTGTCCAAATCCATCTGTCTATTGATAGTTTCCTTGCTATCCACAGCCATACCACATATAGAATGGGGAGTGAGTTCAGGCCTGAGCCAATTCAAGTGTGGATTTGGAACTTGGGGGAAAGAAAAAAAAAGGCCTTGTAGGGGTATGGGATAGTATTAAGCAGAAACAGAAAGATAAAGATGGTTTATGGTTCATTCTACACTCCAGAATGATAATGCAATAAGCTAAATTCTATAGATGGTTTTGAAGTGTTTTATGTGAGGGAAATTAGCCAGTCTGTCAGCTCCAATACAAATAACCTCAGGATTCTTCCTTCACATTCCTCAGTGACTCCTCAGAGGGGAGTTGCCTCTGAGAACCGTGTCAGCCCTGTGGAAAGAGGATCTCTAGGCAGGCCCACCAGGGTCAGAATTCTAAGATACAGACCTTGCATAGAGAGGCCTTTAAGGTCTAGAGTAGGAGTCAATCAGCAAATTATGGTCCCTGCCAGGGTGTTTTCATTCATAAGCTGAGAATGGCTTTTACATTTTTAAAGAGTTGTTGTTTGTTTTTTTAAAAGGGAATTGCTAAGAAAGTAAATTTCAAATATTCTCACCAAAAGAAGGTAAGTATTTGAGGCAATGGATATGTTAATTAGCTTAATTTAATTATTCCACATGATATTCATAAATCATAGTATCACTTCGTGATCCATAGATACATACAATTATAAATTGTAAATTTACAAGAAAAAAATTTTAAAAAGATGTGGCAGTACTATATGGCCCACAAAGCTGAAATATTTACAGAAAGAGTTTGCTGATCCCTGATTTTGAGGCCTCTTCTCTGAAAGGAAGTGGGTCTCACCAGAGGCTGCAGGAGGTTTGAACATCTGTTTTGAATCCCAGGGTAGAGACTTACAGAAAAAGTAGGTGTCACCATCAACAAAGAATAGATTTCTAGTTCTCTTCGGGAGTTCCAGAGACCTGGCAAACTAACCCAATACTCAGGGATCGCTGGGCTAGAAAGACTGAAGGCTTGTGTTAGGTTTAGAATACAGTATCGCCTTTGTTCTGACTGAGCAGTAGAATACATCCCTCATTAATGTTGCTCTCTCAGGCCTTTTAGGCTATGTTCCAGTGAGTCCTGCTGCTGAATGCCACATCAGTGGGATACAGGCCCCAGATCAGTGTCCTGGGCCCACAAACAGGGGAGAATTAGCTTTGTGGCTGCTAGATAGACAAGGGAGTAAGTGAAATTGTTTCTTTTGCTTATGTATTTCTAAATTCCTTATTATAAGTTAGTGGAAATTAATACCTTATGTCTAGGTAAGCATATTCCTATTTCGTCTGTTCCTCAAACCAGAGGTGGGGATTATAGGCCTGAAAGAAGGGCACTGCATCTCTGGGCACAGACTGGGCCTATTTCCTAATGTGGCCACTGTGACCCTAGAAGAGGGAGGACACAGGAGAAGGCCAGGGCGCTCTGCCTGCATGCGTGGATGACCATGATATTTCTGAAATACTTTAGTCTAAAGACTACAGCATTTACATTTCCCTTATTCTTTTTATTTTTCAAATATTTTTTCCTACCACACACCAGAAGATGGATACAGTTAGTCCTTTTACTAGATGGTAAATATGGAGCTTTGAGAGAACAGGTACTCTGCCCCAGATGACCCAGCAAGTTGGAGGAAAACCCAAGAATGAAAGCAGTGTTCCTGTCTTTGGGCATCCTGCCACTATCCTAGGCATGGGTAGTTTCCAGATGGAGCTAAGATCAAACTCCTTTATCACTAGTGATCAAATCTGGTTGTTTCTAAGGCTGCACTGTTGTTCTGATGACCAAGTGGATCATCCTTGAATGACAGGGAAAAAATGTATTAAATGAGTCCCTCACCAGCCTGTCTTCTTGCCAGCACCCTGACTTCTTAAGGTATTAACATGTCGTGTCACTGATGATGACCTAGGATTGCAGGAAGATGACAGAGTCACTGTTCCTGTGTGCTTGGCTGCTCGGCTGTTTTGTTTGCACTTCAGCATTCCTACCTGGTGTGTGGTACATTTTTGTCATTCCACAGCAGTCTGCTGTGCTCCTGGCTCCAGAGTAAGCTAGTCTACATCTATTTACATCAGCTTTCCAGCTGTCAGCCTCCTCATGCTCCTGTCTGCCTGATGGGGCAAGTAGACACTCTGGCAGGAGCTGCCTTTCAGGGAGGTTAGCAGGATATCCACAGAGTTCCAGATACTGTAGTCAAAGTATAAAGTCCCTAGGACCCCAGTCTCTAGGTCTTGCAGGGATGAAGAAGCTTTCAGGAGATTATCTAGGCACAGCTCCTGGCCCAACAAGATTTCTATCCTAGTGTGTCATGTCTAGGAAAAAATCTCTGGTGGCAGATTTTCAAGGAATTTGATGTACGTGCTAAAAACTATACAGATCGGTTGAGGACTGGCCTAACCCATCCTCTGTCTCAAATTCCTATAAAACCCTCCCAAACAGGCTTTTTCTTTTTCTTTACAATGTCAGCACTCAGTGCCCTAGTCTGGGACTTATGACTGATAAGGCTGAGCTTCTGGGTAGTTGAGTGGCAGTCTTTCTTTGTTTTTATTCAGATGATTTCAATGCAGCCAATTTGTGTGTGTGTATGTGTGTACCCTGTCCAGAACAACAGGGCCTACCTGACTCAAGAGAGTACTATAAGCAACAGCTTTCAACTTGAGGTCCATCTGGTCCCAGAGGTTTGGCACTAGACAGCTGGACATATGAAAGCTCTGTTTGTTCCCCTTCGTCTTCCCTGTCCTGTTTAATGCTGAACTGTTTTCAACAAGACTTGCTTCCCGTAGAATCCAACTTAGTAACCTGGAGAAGCCTGAGGCCACTCCTGGAGCAGGAAGCTGCCCTAGATTTGGGCAGTAACCAGTAGAACTTGATACTGACGCCAGAGCGTAAAAATAAACACCTCCTACAGTTCTGTCTTAATCCATTGGCATCAGAGTTGCTATTATTAACCCATAGGCCTCACAGGCAGCTGTGATGGTCAGACAACAGCCTGGACAAAACCTATCCTGCCAACTTGGGATCACACTCTCTCCCCTTCACCTACTGGAATATGATCTGGGGCCCCAGGAGAAGCACCATCAGTCTAGGAGCATGCCCTACAACAGGTAACACTGGCGGTGGATTAGTATCTTTGGTTTTGGAGAGCCTTGAGGCTCCCAGGGCCAGCCTACCAGCCTAGAGTATGATGGCCACAGACAGGATGACTGATTCAGTCCTAGTGTGGGGGAGGAAAAAAAGGAATGTGACCCTTCCATTTCCTTTGGCTCTTTTAAAGAGATTTTGCCTGCCACTTCCCTGACCTGAAGACTTTAGATTTTCTGGGAAATTGGGACAGGAGAGAGGAAAGAGCTCCACTGGTCATCTGCCAAAGATATAATAATAATAATGACTTATTACTAAGCACCTACCATGTGTTGGGTACTTTATGTACAATATCTTACTTATTTTTACTTCAAGCTTTTCAGGGAAAATATGACAGTTTTACAAATGAGGAAGCTGAAGTTTTAGTGAGGTTGAGTGACCACCCAGAATTCCACAGCTGGCAAGTAATGTGTCAGAGTTGGACCCAGACTTGTCTTAACACCAAAATCCATGTTGTGAATCATTATAGAACCTAGGCTGCTGAATACTCAGGACCCAGGCCAGGCTTCAGCTACCTGCTTTTTAAATGTGGGGGCTTAAGTAAACAAAAATATATAAGTTACTCTCACTTTAGTCTTACAACTAAAGCAATAGTTACTGGTACACAGAAATGGTTTTTGCTGCCACCTGCGAGTGAGCCAGTCCCAGTGCTCTTACTGTCCATGGTGAGCTGGACTCCAGAGACTAGCAGGGCAAGCCTCCTGGAAGATGAGATGCCTCCCAGAGAAAGGCTTTGACTCTGCCTGAGGAGTCTCAGACCATGACTCCTCTGTAGAGAACATGGCCAGATTGGAACCTGGTTCCCCAGGGGAACAAGGCTTTGATGGTTCTGGCAGTCATGCTGAGGGAGGGGTGTACTTGAATAAAAAGATTCCTTGAAGGACAACTAGGCTTCCCCCACCCCTCTCTTTTTCCAACCTCCTCCACCCTGGCCCCACAACTGGCTTCTGTAATTCAATCTAGATTCTTCTCATAGCCTACTTTACTGTGCGTATGTGGCCTTTTATTTACAGCTTTGGGCATTCTGATTGGATAGCAGCTTCCTAGTCTGTGTGCTTCAGTCCACTGCCTGTGGGGTGGGGGAGCAGAGTACACTTTGATTTTTGCTTCCTGAAGCCCAGGAGCTAAAAGGAATAGCCAGAGGGCTGCCCACACAGCCAAAGGACTGACCACACTGAGCAGTCAAAGAGCAGCATAGGGGCCTTTTTTGTTCCAGCTAACTTTCTCCTGCAAATACACACTTGAGGGCCATCCTCCAAGCAAAGCAGTCTGTGCTGGGGCTTTCAGCATCCACCCCTCGTACACTGTCTCTGGTCTTGGTGGCTTCCTGCTCCCTTGCTGCTCACCTACACCTAGCATTGAGAGACTTTAGCCTGTGGGCCTTACTCACTGCTGCTCTCTCCATCACCTCATCTGAAGAACTCGGTCTGTCAAGGTAGGAACCAAATCTTTCCTTATTCCCTATAGTCTTCCTCTCTCCCCCTAATACATCCTCAAAAGAAATAGGGTTTACAACAAATTCCCAGTCTCTAGAGACTTACAGCTAGCAGTTAGAAGCCAGGCACCTGGGAGTATAGGTGTGTTTATGTGTATTTGTATTCATGTTGGAATGCAGGAGGTCATTTTTTTTAACACACTGCATAGGAACCTTCCCTTGGGCTCCAGGTTTTAATTTGGCTTAGGTTATAATTAGACCTGAAAAGGACCTTAAGAGGTCATCTGATTGAGCCCGCTGCTTCCAAACAGGTGCTACAAGTTGAGCTAAGGAGGGAATCAAATGGTTGGCCTAATGGAGAAAGGTGTATACTTTTGCTGGCTGGATCAGCAGAAGAAAATAATTTTTTGTTTTCTAGATTGAATCCCTTTTGAGCATAGAGACCCTAGGGGCAAAGCTAGGTTTATTATCATCAGATTTTAATGGAATAAAGAAAAGCAACTCTTTCAGCTCAGTGAGGTTCAATGGCTCTAGCTTATTCTTTTCCTGGGTATACTTTCCCAATGCTGCAGTCTCCATTTACTGAATTGGAGCCTTGGGCGCCTGGGGTCTTTTACCTTTTAGGCTGCTAAGCCCATTCTACTTCAGAGCCAAGCCTCTTCTGGAATGTTTGTCTTTGACTTTTGGGGGTGGACGTTTAGCTGAACTTTTCTACAACATATGTGAGAAGCCAAAAGCAAACCAAGTTCTGTGCTTCGAAAGAGGACTCTATATTAAGGAAGCCTAATAAGGCAGCAACTGGTGTGTCTGGGACAGCCCTTCAGGCTAGGCCCTTTCAACACACTCCCAGCATGCCGTCTGGCCTCACTTGGAGTCCAAAATAACATGATACGAGTTAGAAACAGTGGCCTCCTCAGCTAGCAGCAGCTACACTCTACTTGGAGGAAAGACAGATGACCTCCTGGGCATTGGCTGCTATTCCATTTATGGAATCAGACTCCTGATGCCATAGCCAGGTGCTCTCAGCATCTAAGAACTTGTTTATTCTCTCTTTACAGTTCAGTCCTAGACACCCACAGGAATCACTGTTACCACCAGTTCTGAAATCTCCAAATTCTTTGAGCCTCTCTCACACATTTCACAGAGAAGTACTTGTCCTATAGGAAACTCAGAGCCTCCATCTAATCTCATGGCAAGGGTGGAGGGTAGCTGACTTTCCAAATTCGTGTACAAAGTTTATTTCTGTTCTGGGAAGTTAGGTTTGCTATTGGTGAAGTTAATCAACATCTGTTTACAAACATTTGATTTGGGAGGCATGAAAAAAGAGAGATGTTTCTGTCAGTTAATTATTTCACTCCCCATATCTCTAACTCCCAACAAACTATGGTCAGTTCTGCCTTTGCCTAGGGTTCCCTGGAGGTGCCTCTGGGGCCCCCCACAGTAAGGAGAGGGAATTGGAGTGCATGGGGCATTAGGCCTCCTCTGCTTCAACCAGGGTAGCTGTTTTATGTATTGGGGCTGAAAAATTAAAAGCATTGCTCTAACCCTTACACCCTGAAACTTTCTTTTTGCTGTTCTGGCCTCCAGAGGCATATTGGCAATTATTTTAACAAAATTATGAGCCCCTCAAATTGGGCTATTACCCCTGAACATCCAGCATAGCTCCTTATACACAGGAAGAATACAGTAGATGCTTGTGGCTTGATTGCTTGCTTGATTAATTGGCTCACAAGATGATATTAATTGATAGCCTCAGGATAATTCTAGATCAGAGAATAGAGTACAGTATGTAATAATTTATTTTGATTTGTTATGGTTTGAGCATTTCTGACCTTTGCTACTGGAATCAATCATGCAGTCTGAGGTGAAAACTTAGCCAAAAGGAATTACCTTAACTGAGGTTGTCGCTGTTGGAGAGGATACCCAGTAAGTCAGCACAAACAAAAGTACCTTCTGTTGATTTCCAAAGATTTGTATGATTTCAATCCACCTCTGTCCCTGGTGTACTGAGGTGAAAGGTCAGCAGAGTGATTATTGGGAAGACCAGGCATAGAGGTATACTAAAATCATATAGTCCTGTCTATTGATTAGTACTGCTTACTTTTGCTAAAAATTACCTTCTTGGACAGTTCCCAAAACTACTCATTGTCTTGATTGTGGGAAATGCAAAACTTTTCTCTGCTAAGCTATACTTATTAACAACATCTAAACTGTTTATCTGCAGCCTGCATTATACATCTGCATATCTTTTGTGAGGGTGGCTTTGTTTTTAATTAGCTTATATGTTTTATAAAATTATAATGTTTTTTATAAAGCTAAATAACAGGACATAAGTGAAAAAAGCAGCCACATTCAAATAAAGTCTGCCAGTTCAGTTAATTGTAATGTACTCAATGTTAATTGCTTTGTTTTAACAAATGTACCTTGATTACGTAAGATGGTAACATTAGGGAAACTGGTTAAAAGAGGTACAGGAACTCTGAACTATCTTTGCAACTTTTTATAACTGTAAATTATTCCAAAATAAGTAGTTAGCTTTTAAAAATTCATACACAGCAATAAAGGTCTTCACAATGAAAAAAAAAGCCAAATAGTGGCTGGGCGTGGTGGCTCATGCCTATAATCCTGTCACTTTGGGAGGCTGAGGTGGCTGGATCCTTGAGCCCAGGAGTTTGAGACCAGCCTGGGCAACATGGTGAAACCTTGTCTCTACAAAAAATACAAAAATTAGCCAGGCATGGTGGTGCATGCCTGTAGTCCCAGCTACTCAGGAGGCTGAGGTGGAAGGATGGCTTGAGTCCAGGAAGTGGAGGTTGCAGTGAGCCAAGATAGGGCCACTGCATTCCAGCCTGGGCAACAGAGGGAGACTCCATCTCAAAAAATTAAAAAAAAAAAATAAAAATTTAAGCCAAATAGTGCCAAATCTGGGGCAGTCTGAACATCAAAATCAGTAATGGATTATGACCCACTGACTTTTTAAAATCCAGGGGTCCATATTTATCCTAAATCAATAAATTAAGAAAGGAAGGAAAAGGGAAATCTTTATTATGTTAGAATGCCAACTAATCAATGTAGAAGGAATAATAGAAAATTGTCATTTTTTGGCCAGGCGCAGTGGCTCATGCCTGTAATCCCAGCACTTTGGGAGGCTGAGGTGGGTGGATCACTTGAGGCCAGGAGTTTGAGACCAGCTTGGCCAACATGGTGAAACCTGTCTCTGCTAAAAATACAAAAAATTAGCTAGGCATGGGGCACATGCCTGTAATCCCAGCACCTCAGGAGGCTGTGGGAGACGGAGGTTGCAGTGAGCCAAGATAGGGCCACTGCACTCCAGCCTGGGCAACAGGGTGTGACTCTGCCTCAAAAACACAAAACAAAACAAACCTGTCATTTTTCAACCATCATAGTAAATAACTGATTCAGATGAAACTCATCAATGGATGCTAAAATGATTGGATGAAAGTTTGATGGGAACAGGTTATTTATCTAATCTAAAAGTAATCTCTCCATAGATTGCTTATTAATTAGAGGAGAAAATGATAACTTTACAATGGAGAAACCTGACAGACACTATCTTAACGAAGGACTAGTTCAAAATTAGCATCATCAATAAAGTGATAAAATGACCTCATGTGTTGGGTTTTGTCTTGTTTTGTTCTGCATTATGTGTTTCTCCCAGACTCCTATTTTATGTTTTTGTTGTACTCTTTGTTTTCTGTTGGAGGCTGCCCTCAAAAGTCTGGTGATCCCAGGCCGGGTGCAGTGGCTCACGCCTGTAATCCCAGCACTTTGGGAGGCCGAGACGGGTGGATCACAAGGTCAGGAGATCGAGACCATCCTGGGTAACACGGTGAAACCCCGTCTCTACTAAAAATACAAAAAATTAGCCGGGCGTGGTGGCGGGCACCTGTAGTCCCAGCTACTCGGGAGGCTGAGGCAGGAGAATGGCGTGAACCCGGGAGGTGGAGCTTGCAGTAAGCCAAGATCGCACCACTGCACTCCAGCCTGGGGGACAGAGCGAGACTCCATCTCAAAAAAAAAAAAAAACTCTGGTAATCCCTTGGCTACTGATATAAAAATGAGCCATTTAAAAACACTGGAGGTTCTGTGAGAGTGGAAAGATATATCAACTGGCAAACTTGTCTGGTGGGCAGGTGGAACAGGCTGGCCTTTTTTTGTGTGGGGAAACCCCCAGAGAATTTGACATTCTTTTCTCTGAGGTAGTTCAGTTTCTGCAGAGAAATAATCTACCAGGGGTAGGGTGGGATAAATAAGTCTGGCTGTTGGTATTATCCTGAAATAGAAGGAAGAAGTCTAGCAATTCTTTGGAGATTTTCACCTAACCCCTCAGTTTTCAGATTGGCCTCTCATCCTGCTTTCTTCCATGCCTTGTTTTCCAGAGTCGAATGCAGTTCCACTCAAAGTTCTCCAGAAATAAATCTCCAGTAATCCTGAGGAGCAGGAGACCAGTGGTCTCCTGACAGTGTAGGGTTGTTGGTGGGGACTGGGTGTCTAATTACTTCTTCTACAAACTTTAACCAACATCCCTATTTTTTTTTTTCCTTTAAAAAGAATTTTTGGTCGAGCACGGTGGCTCATGCCTGTAATCCCAGCACTGTGGGAGGCCGAGGCAGGCGGATCACCTGAGGCCAGGAGTTCGAGATCAGCTGGCCTACACGGCAAAACCCCGTCTCTACTAAAAATACAAAAATTAGCCTGGCGTGGAGGCACACTCCTGCAGTCGCAGCTACTCGGGAGGTTGAGGCAGGAGAATTGCTTGAACCCAGGAGGTGGAGGTTGCAGTGAGCCGAGATCGCACCACTGCACTCCAGCAAGCCTCAGCCACCTTTAAACATATTTTTTAGGCCAGGTGTGGTGGCTTCTGCCTGTAACCCCAGCATTTTGTGAGGCCTAGGTGGGCGAATTGCTTGAGCTCAGGAGTTTGAGACCAGCCTGGGCAACATGAAACCCTATCTACCAAAAAAAAGAAAAGAAATACAAAAATTAGCTGGGCGTGATGGCACGTGCCTGTAGTCCCAACTGCTTGGGTGGTGGCCATGCAGAGTGAGTTCCTAGCATTTTAACAGTGCTTTATATTTCTATAAAATGGTCAGTTTACAGAGCACTTTCATGTACTGTTTTGAATAGACCACTGTTCAGATCTATAGTAGGGGGCATATGTTTCCCCTAAGCCTTCAACTCCCCATAAAGTAGCCTGGTCCAGGCACAGGAAGACTCAGTAACCAATGTTTATATTCATGCCTGCTTTATTTTGAGCACCCTGGATCTCTCTATTGCTTATGAAAGCTGCCCAGACCACTACTGAGTTCTGGAAGATGCTGGGATTGAGGAGTGGGGAAAGGTATCCATATCCAGTCTTTTCATGTTTCTCCAAGGTTACCGTCCTATTTTGGTCAGAATTGTGTAATCTCCTTTGTGGGGGTTTTGGATATTAACCAACATCTTATCACTTGATAATAGTATCACACTTACTGGGTATTTACTGTATGTCAGGCACAATTTAAGTGCTTGATAGTATTAATTCACTTAATGTTGGTGGTATTTTCATCACCATTCTACAGGAAATGGGGGCAGGGAAAGGCAAGATAACTGGCCTAGGATTACACAACACTCAAACAGATATTACCTCATCTTGTTAACTATTAAATGTATTGCATTCAGATTTTACTTGGTGTGGGGTACAGTGGCTCATGCCTGTAATTCCAGAGCTTTAGGAAGCTAAGGCAGGAAGATCACTTGAGCCCAGGAGTTCAAGGTTGCAGTGAGCTGGGATGGTGCCACTGCAGCCTGGGCAAAAGAGAGAGACCCTGTCTCAAAACAAAATAAAAGCCACACAAAAAATTTTTGCTGATGTACAGTTTAGATACTTGTTACTGATATTCTTTATCCTGAGATAGTTTTACTTCCTGAATCCATGGATTCTTGTTTTCTAATAACTTCTGAAATATTATCTGTCATTATCTCTTCAAATATTACCTCTCCTTGATTCTCTACCAAAGATTCTGATTATAAGTATATTAAACATTTTCATTCTATCTTATCTCTTAACTTCTCATTCACTTTTCTGTTCCTTTGTTTTTTTGTGCTGTTTCTATGTGATTTCTTCAGATCGATCTTCCAGTTCACTAATTTCTCACTTCAACTTTGTCTTTTCTGCTGTTAAATTTGTCCTTTCGTTGTTTTTTTTTTCTTTTTTGAGACAAGGTCTCACTGTGTCACCCAGGCTGGAGTGCAGTAGTGCTTTCATGGCTCACTTTAGCCTCAATCTCCCAGGCTCAAGCAGTCCTCTAACTTCAGCCTTCTAAGTAGCTGGGACTACAGGTGTGCACCACCACATTCTGCTTGCTTGCTTGCTTGCTTGCATATGTATGTACATGTGTATGTATCTAGTGACAGAGTCTTGCTATGGTGCCCAGGCTCTTACCAAATTCCTGGCCTCAAGCAATCCTCCTGCCTCAGCCTCCCAAAGTGCTGGGATTACAGGTGTAAGTCACTGCACCTGGCTGAGTTTTTATTTTAATAATTATGTTTCTAACTTCTGAACATATTTCGTTCTTTTTCAGATCTGCCTGGTTATTTCTAATAATTCATTGCCACTCGCTTACCTTTGAGATTTATCTTTTATTTTAAAACATTTCACACATAGCTGATTTATATTCTGTAACTGACATTTTTGGTATCTGAAGTTCTTGCAATCTAAATACATTATTTATTGTTTTCTCTGTTATTTGCTCATGGCATCTTTGTGATCATTAATTATAAACTAATTTTTCTTGATCTTTAATTTTGAGAATTTTGTTGACTTAGATTGGGAAATATTTTCCCCCAGAGAAGATTCATATCTGCTTCTACCAAAAGCTGTGGAACACCACCTACCATGGATCATGATGAACTTCCTTCAGGCTTCCCTGTTTCTGCTTAATGCAGAACTCTCAGGTTTAGCTCCCTCACCTTCCCAGTGGCTCAAGTATGGTCATCTTGGCTGCAGTGATGCTCTGGGAATTGGCTGACAAGGAACCCTGGTTCTCCCCCTTGCTTACTGCATAGCTCATGAATTTTTCCCTTTTTGGGGAATTGGGTAGAGTAGTCACAGAGATGTCTCCTATATACTGAGAGACCTGAAATGCTTTTAAAAGTATATATTGCCCAGGCACTGTGGCTCATGCCTATAATCCCAGCGCTTTGGAAGGCTGAGGCAGGAGGATTCCTTGAGGCCGGAAGTTCAAGATCAGCCTGGGCAACATAGCAAGATGCCATCTCTACAAAAAATTTAAACATTAGCCAGGCATGGTGGCACATGCTTGTAGTCCCACCTACTTGTGGGGGCTGAGGCAGGAGAATTGCTTGAGCCCAACTCAAGGTTGCAGCGGGCTATGATTGGGCCACTGCACTCCAGCCTGGGTGACAGAGTGAGACCCTATTCCTTTAAAAAAAAAAAAGTATATATTATACAGGATCTCATATTTTTCATATTTTGCAGTGAAAGGGGCCCTGTAATGTCTTGATTACCATAATGTGGGAAGCAGAATTCTCTTTATGCGATTTGATACCTTTTTTTTTTTTTTGAGATGGAGTTTCGCTCTGTCACCCAGGCTGGAGTGCAGTGACGCTATCATAGCTCACTGGAGCCCAAAAGTCCTGGGTTCAAGTCAGCCTCCTACCTTAGCCTCCCAAGTAGCTAGGACCATAGGCATGTGCCACCACATCCAACTAATTTTTAAATTTTTGTGTTGACAGTGTCTCGCTTTATTGCCCAGGCTGGTCTTGAACTTCTAGGCTCAAGCAGTCTTCTCTCCTCAGTCTCTCAAAGCACTGATATTTTACTTTTTAAATTAGCTTAAAAGGGCCGGGCATGGTGTCTCACACCTTTAATCCCAGCAGTTGGGGAGACCAAAGTGGGAGGCTCTCTTGAGGCCAGGAATTCAAGACAGACCTGACCAACATAATGAGACCCCCATCTTTAAAAAAATTTTTAAAAAAAAATTGTAAAAAGTTTAAAAAAGAAAACAAAAAATAAATAAATTAGCTTAAAAGCCTTTTTCGATACCATTGAATATACCTTGTATACCCAATATTAATGGTTCTATTATATTCCGTTACATGGGTAGCTCACTAGCCATTTTTCCATTGGATATTTAGAATATTCTCAATTTTTCTCTGTTGCAAGTAATATTGCATTGAACATCATTGGGGAAATATGAGGCAAATCAAGGAGGGTAGAGATATAAAGAAAATGCATAACTGTTATTCTGGGGCAAGAGTTGGCAAACTCAGATGCCTTATAGGAGCCAGACAAATAATGCAAATAAGTAAAATGAACCAGTGAAGCTGCCATGAGGAGTGCTGGGAACACGGCAAACTGAAGGTCACGTGCTCATCTAATGAAGGGAACCACTTCTCAGCTCCAGCTGATTGTTAGTCATGTAGGAATGAGGGCCTAGTGTAGCCAGTTCTTTTGGTTTTTTTTCAAGCAAAACAAGCTGGAAATCTAGATTTTTTTCTAGAAATCCCCAAAATGTTTATGGTGGCATTTTTACTATGCAAAGCACATAAAACCTATTGACATACTAGATGTGACAGTCAGTCTGTCACTTTGCAGCCTTTGCTAATGTTTATGATGGCATTTTTACTGTGCAAGCCACGTAAACCTATTGACACACTAGATGTGACAGTCAGGCTGGCACTTTGCAACCTTTACAGCCTTTGCTCCAGGGTCATGACTGGATATAAATGGGAGGGAATGTACTGACTGAAGACATATCTGCTCAGTCATGTTTCCATCCTCAGAATGAGCATGGTGTGTAATGAAGGGTTTAAGATCTTGGCATTAAAGATTTATTTATTAAGCACTTTACTAAGGCTCAGCTTTCAGTTTTTCTTCTTCCTTACCTTCTTCTTCTTCATCAAATATGCTGTTCTCAGAAGAGACTGACCTTCTCAAAGCCAGCTGGGCTCCATTTAGCCTGCTGTGCTTGCCATCCATTCAGTAGCTTTGTTTTTGTTTGTTTTTGAGACTGGGCCTTGTTCTGTTGTCCAGGCTTGAGGGCAGTGGCACAATCTCCACTCACCGCAACCTCTGCTTCCCGGCCTCAAGCCTTCCTCCCACCTCAGTCTCCCAAGTAGCTAGGACTACAGGTGCACACCAGCACACCCAGCTAATTTTTGTATTTTTTGTAGAGACGGGGTTTCACCATGTTGCCGAGGCTGGTATCAACTCATAAGCTCAAGCAATCCGTCCACCTCAGCCTCCCAAAATGCTGGGATTACAGGTGTGAGCCACCCTACCTGGCCAGCCATTCAGTAGCTTTATCAAACATCATTGGTCCTCCACTATGTGCCAAGGCCCTGTGCTCAGAATTACCTATCAATGTATAAGACACAGCTCCACCATCTAGAAATGTACCGTCATCAAGAGATAATAAAATGGCCAAGTCTTGATACCAAATGAGTTGTACGTATAATTGGTATTGAAGTATAGGAGAAGGATTTCCATGATAAAGAAAAGCTTCCAGATATGGTAGAATTTGAGCCACATCCTTAAAATGAAGGGTGGGAGGGAATGGGGAAAACAATCCAGATATCTTCCCAGTGAGTAAAGCCAAAACTCAGAGTATATTCGGCATGTGACGGGAATGGGGTTGGATAGGTAGAAAGGAATTTTGGGGGTTTTTTGGTTGTTTTTTGTTTCTGTTTTTTATGAGACTGGGTCTCACTCTGTCGCCCAGGCTGGAGTACAGTGGTGCGATCTCTGCTCACTGCAACCTCTGCCTCCTGGGTTCATGTGATTATCCTGCCTCAGCCTCCCAAGCAGCTGGGATTACACACACACACCACCACACCTGGCTAATTTTTGTATTTTTGTAGAGACAGGGTTTCACCACGTTGGCCAGGCTGGTCTCGAAATCCTGACCTCAAGTGATCTGCCTGCCTCAGCCTCCCAAAGTGCTGGGATTACAGGTGTGAGCCACTGCGCCTGGCTGGTAGAAAGGAACTTTGAACGCCACATTAAAGAATTTGGGGCTGGGAGCAGTAGCTCATGCCTGTAATCCCAGCACTTTTGGAGGCCGAGGCGGGTGGATCACGAGGTCAGGAGATGGAGACCATCCTGGCTAACATGGTGAAACCCCGTCTCCACTAAAAAATACAAAAAAATTAGCCGGGCTTGGTGTCGGGTACCTGTAGTCCCAGCTACTCGGGAGGCTGAG
Organism: Homo sapiens; assembly: GCF_000001405.40. Taxonomy (NCBI): domain Eukaryota; kingdom Metazoa; phylum Chordata; class Mammalia; order Primates; family Hominidae; genus Homo; species Homo sapiens. The sequence goes on from NC_000009.12 coordinate 35,531,165, forward strand.
GCAGGAGAATGGCATGAACCTGGGAAGCGGAGCTTGCAGTGAGCTGAGATCGCACCACTGCAGTCCAGCCTGGGCGACAGAGCAAGACTCTCTCTCAAAAAAAAAAGAATTTGGATTTATCCTGTAGGCAGCAGGGAGCCACTGAAGATGTTTTAGTAGTAGAGTGACTTGCTGAAGGAAGTTGAGGAGATTACCCTTGTGCCTGTATATGTGATAGCTGGGAACCAAGAGACAACGAAGGTAAGAAAACTAGTTAGAAGACTATATAATTCAGAGGAGAGGTAATACAGGCCTGAATTTGGAGGATAGAGTAGGGATAGGAACTGGAGAGGCAATAGAGGAAGTGGTTAAGAATACTGACTCTGGAATCAGACAGGTCTTTATCTGAGTCCCAGCTTAGACATTTACTGACTGAGTTACATTGGGAAGATTATTTAATATCCCTGAGCCTCAGATTTCTCATTCATGAAGTAAGGATAATAACATTTAGCTTAGAGAGTGGTTATATGGATTAAATGAGATAATGTAAGTAAGTGTTTAGCATAGTAGCGGAAACATAGTAAAAACAGGAAATTGTTGGGCTGGGCGTGGTGGTTCACGCCTGTAATCCCAGCACTTTGGGAGGCCAAGGCAGGCGGATCACGAGGTTAGGAGACTGAGATCATCCTGGCTAACACAGTGAAACCCCTCCTCTACTAAAAATACAAAAAAATTAGCCAGGCGTGGTGGCGGGCGCCTGTAGTCCCAGCTACTCGGGAGACTGAGGCAGGAGAATGGTGTGAACCCGGGAGGCAGAGCTTGCAGTGAGCAGAGATCATGCCACTGCACTCCAGCCTGGGCAACAGAGCAAGACTCTGTCTAAAAACAAAACAAAAAGAAATTAAGTCAATGCCCGAAACATTGGAAGGAAGACTCAGCATGACTTGGTAGTTGTCTGAATGTAAAGAGAGTCCAGATGACTCTTATTTTCAAGTTTGTGTTACAGGCAGTCCAAAGAGACCTAATTTGAAATTTTAAAAATCGATTTGGTTTTCGATATGTTGAATTTGAGGTAATAATAAGTATCTGATAGGCTATTGGAGATTTGATTCTGGAAGTTCAGGAAGAATGTAAGATTTGGAAATCAACGGCAAAGGTAATGGGAAGTACTAAAGACTGTTCAGATTGAAAAGTCTTCAGATCTGAACCTTGCTGTAAATTTGCATTTAAATATGGGCCAGGTATTGTTTTATTAAACAACGAAGAAAGAATTATCTAAGAAGTAGAACTAGGAGGATTGGTTTATAGAAGACAAAAGGGGTTGGGTTTGATGGCACATGCCTATAATCTCAGCACTTTGCAAGGCCGAGGTGGGCAGATCACTTGAGCTCAGGAGTTCAAGACCAGCCTGGCCAACATGGTGAAACCCCATCTCTACCAAAACCACAAAAATATAGCTGGGTGTGGTGGCATGCACCTGTAATCCCAGCTACTTGGGAGGCTGAGGAACGAGAATCACTTTAACCTGGGAGGTGGAGGTTACAGTGAGCCAAGATCAGCCACTGCATTCCAGCCTGGGTGACAGAGCGAAACTGTCTTAAATGTCTCAAAAAAAAAAGCCAAAGGGAAAAGAGGAGTTGAATAGGAAAGGATGACTGCTGATAGTGTTGGATGATTCCAATATTATAAGTTAAAAATGATAACTGCTTCACACACTTCAAATGTTATTAGAAAAAAGATTTCTGGTGGTTAAGAAACAATGAAGGAGAGAGTGGAGAGAGAATTTTAAGAGTCCATTTGTTAAGGAATTTTGGTGTCGAGGCTGGGTGTGGTGGCTCACGCCTGTAATCCTAGCACTTTGGGAGGCCTAGGCGAGCAGATCACTTAAGCTCAGGAGTTCGAGACCAGCCTGGGCAACATGGCGAAACCCCATCTCTACTAAAAAATACAAAAATTAGCCAAGCATAGTGGCGCATGCCTGTAATCCCAGCTACTCGAGAGGCTGAGGCACGAGAATCGCTTGAACCCAGGAGGCGGAGGTTGCAGTGAGCCGAGATCGTGCCACTGCACTCCAGCCTGGGTGACAGAGCGAGACTCTGTCTCAAAAAAAAAAAAAAGAAGAATTTGGTGTTGAAAAAAGAAAGAGAGGACTATCTGACGTCCTTGGATTGACATGCAGTGATAGCCTCTGCTTTCTGGTACCCTGATATTCCACCTCTCACCCATACCCCCAGTTATGGGGTTCTCAAAGACTTCAGTCTCTGTGGAGCTGAGCAACACCACTCAAGCTCCTACAGCAACTGCCACTGTTTTTAACAGCTTTATTGAAATATAATTGACATACCATACATTTTGCCATTTAAAGTATACAATTCAATTGTTTTAGTATATTCACAGTTGTGCAACTATGACTGTAGTCTAATTTTGGAACATTTCATCATTCCCAAAAGAAACCCCACACCCATTAGCAGGCACTCCCCATCTCTCTGCCTCTCCAGCCTCTGGCAGCCACTGATCTACTTTTTGTCTCTATAGATTTGCCTTGTCTGGACATATCATGTAAATGGAATGAAACAATATGTGACCTTCTGTGTTTCTTCTTTCACCTAGCATGTTTTCAAGGTTCATCCATGTTGGAGCATTTATCAGGACTTCATTCCCTTTTATTGCTCAATAATAATTCATTGTGTGTACCACCTTTTATTTATCCCTTCTTCTGTTGATGAACATTTTGGTTGCTCCTAGTTTTTGACTATCATGAATAATGCTACTAGGAATACTCATATACAAGCTTCTGTGTGGATGTTTTTTGTTTCTCGTAGGTATATACCTAGAAGCAGAATTGCTGGGGTCAAATAGTAACTCTTTAACTTTTTGAGAAACTGCCAGAACTCTTTTCCAAAGTGGTTGCACCATTTTACAGTGCCCTCAGCAATGTGTGAGGGTTCCAATTTCTACACATCATTGTCAACATGTGTGATTGCCTGCCTTTTTTTATTTTAGCCATTCTAGTGGGGTCAAGTAGTATCTCACTTTAGTTTTGATTTGTACTGCCTAATGATTAATGATGTTAAGCATTTGTTTATATAAGTACTTGTTGACCATTTGTGTGTCTTCTTTGGGGAAATGTTTATTCAAATCCTTTGCCCAGCCAGGCATGGTGGCTCATGCCTGTAATCCCAGCACTTTGGGAAGCCGAAGCAGGAGGATCACTTGAGCTCAGGAGTTTTGGACCAGCCTGGGCAACAGAGTGAGACCCCCATCTCTACAAATAATACACACACACACACACACACACACACACACACACACACAATCCTTTGCTCGTTTTTATTTATTTACTTATTTATTTTTTTGAGACAGGTTCTCACTCTGTCACCCAGGCTGGAGTGCAGGGGTGCGATCTCAGCTCACTGCAACCTCTGCCTCCCAGGTTCAAGCACCTCTTGTGCCTTAGCCTCCCGAGTAGCTGGGATTACAGGTGTGCACCATCACACCCAGCTAATTTTTGTATTTTTTTGGTAGAGACAGGTTTTGCCATGTTGGCCAGGCTGGTCTCGAACTCCTGACCTGAAGTGATCTGCCTGCCTTGGCCTCCCAAAGCTCTGGGATTACAGGTGTGAGCCACCATGCCTGGCCCCCTTTGCCCATTTAAAAATTGGATTGTCTTTTTATTACTGAGTTGTAAGTGTTTTTAAATATATTCTGGATAGAAATCCCTTATCAGATATATGATCTGCAAATTTTCTCACATTCTGTGGGTTTTCTTTTGACTATCTTGATTGTGTCCTTTGAAGAACAAAAGTTTTAAATTTTTATGAAGTCAGTTTATGTTTTTTTTTTTATTTTTTCATTTTGCCAGCAGGAAGTCAAAGTTTTTCTGTTTTTTTCTTTTGTCACTTGTATTTTTGATATCATGTCTAAGAATGTGTTGCCTAACCCTAGGTTATGAAGAATTACTTCTTTGTTGCCTAAGCTTCTTTTTTTTAGATATGGAGTGTCACTCCTGTTGCTCAGTCTGGAGTGCAATGGTGCAATCTCGGCTCACTGAAACCTCCACCTCCTGAGTTCAAGTGATTCTCCTGCCTCAGCCTCCCGAATAGCTGGGGTTACAGGTGCCCACCACCACACCCCGCTAATTTTTGTATTTTTAGTAGAGACAAGGTTTCACCATGTTGGCCAGGCTGGTCTTGAACTCCTGACCTCAGGTGATCTGCCCGCTTCGGCCCCCCAAAGTGCTAGGATTACAGGCATTAGCCACCGCTCCCGGCCGCCTAAGCTTCTTTTTGATAGATTTTTTTTTTTTTCACATGGAAAACAGTCTTCTCTTTCAAGCCTATTGAGTCAAGTCTACCCACCACTTATTCTGATTTACACACAAGGAGCTTCTCTTTTTTTTTTTTTTTTTTTTGAGACGGAGTCTCTTGCTCTGTAGCCCAGGCTGGAGTGCAGTGGCGCCATCTTGGCTCACTGCAAGCTCTGCCTCCTGGGTTCACGCCATTCTCCTGCCTCAGCTTGCTGAGTAGCTGGGACTCCAGGCGTCCACCACCACGCCCGGCTAATTTTTTTTGTATTTTTAGTAGAGACGGAGTTTCACTGTGTTAGCCAGGATGGTCTCAATCTCCTGACCTCGTGATCTGCCCGCCTCGGCCTCTCAAAGTGCTGGGATTACAGGCATGAGCCACCGTGCCCGGCCAAGCATCTCTTTTTAGATTATTCTTGTTCAACAAGACTTCCATATGCCAAGCATAAGACACCTTCTATATGCCAAGCAGTATGCTAGGTTTTATGGGAAATACAAAATTAAAATGATATTCTTATATACTGGATAATGGAGATGTACAGATGACTATAACTCCGACTTTGCAGTCTAGAAGAGATGTTAAGGCAGATATGCAAAAAAGAACAATAACCATGTTAAGTGACATGATTTACTTAATCAAAACTTCTCAGGGACCGATGCTATTGCTGATGAAGTTTGCCATCAATATGCAATGCAATGAGAAAGTACAGTATGCTTTTTCTTATAAAATGATGATCATCAAAGTAAAGTTTTTTGTAATGATCCTACTTGACAATATAAGAAGTTGGCAATCCAATATTGATCCCCGTTTTTTGTGGAAGTTGTTTTCTTGTCTGTAAAATCAACAACCTGCAACCACTGGTTCGGAGAACAGATTATTTCTGGCTCTGGGGTAATCAGAGAAGACTTGATGGAGGAGTTGCTCTGGGTCTGGTAGGTTTGGATAATTTTGAACAGGGCCAAGTGTAACAGGAAGGAGAGTCTGAATGAACAAATACAACAGAGTGGAAATGAGTTTCTGAAACATGTTTCAAGGACTGCATGATGGGAAGGCAAGGTTGAGTGGAGTAGAGTAGACAGCCAAGGCTGGGCACGGTGGCTCACACCTGTAATCCCAGCACTTTGGGAGGCTGAGGCGGGTGGATCACCTGAGGTCAGGAGTTCAAAACAAGCCTGGCCAACATGGCAAAACCCCGTCTCTTCTAAAAGTAAAAAACTTAGCCGGGGCATGGTGGCAGGTGCCTGTAATCCCAGCTACTCGGGAGGCTGAGACAGGAGAATCACTTGATCCTGGGAGACAGAGGTTGCAGTGAGCCAAGATCGCGCCACTGCACTCCAGCCTGGATGACAAGAGTGAAACTCAAAAAAAAAAAAAAAAAAAAAAGAATAGACAGCCGAGATGGATGACCTCTAAAGCCAAAATGAGGAGGCTCAACTTGATTCTCTGGGTAATGAGAAACCATTAAAAGGGGCAGGAGGAGTGGCATGTTGAAGAAAGGTGGTGCTTTAGGGAGATGAATCTGGTAGTACTAAAAAGTAAATTGCAAGTGGGGAGACTAGTTAGGTGGCCGAGGTTTATAATGTAACAGTATTTGTGTTTTGTTTCTGGCTGGAAAATAATTTGATCTTTCCTCAAAACCCTAGATCTTTGGCAGTAGTGGTTAGGAAGTAAGTGGCAAGGTTGTCTGTGATGTAGTGAATTAAGCCAAGCACTAGAGGTCTGAGAGCTGCCACCTTCCATAGGCAACTGGAAGCACTGGCTGTCCAGCACAATGCATGACTTAGCCTCGCAGAAATTTCAGAGTCAAAGACCCTGGGCCCAGAGCTCTCATGGTAAGAGGCTCGAACTCCAAACGCTTGGTCATGAAGATTCACTCTGCCCTAACCTACAGATGCTTATCCAACCCCGCTTTGTGGTATCAGCTAGGCGAGAGGAAAGCATAGTGACACCATTTCCTCACCTTTCAGCCTCCTTGAGATGACCGCTAATGGTTGGCTATGAACAGCAGCCTCCCTCCTTCCTTCCTTTCCTCACTGTTTCTTGCTTTATAGGATCAAGGGGCCATGGCTGCTCAAACAAGTCAAGGCTGGAGATGGGTCTTTGTGTCTTTGTGTGTTTTTGTTCTTCTCTCTACAATTGACTCAGCTCAGCATGGTGTCAGTGGACACATGGGTGTCACAGGGAATAGGAGAAACAAGAAAGGAAAAGAAAAGTTACATCTCTTCTGGATCCTGAGGGATAGCTGTTATGGTCTTGGCCAGTGGTTTCTCCAAAGGCTTCTTTCTAAGGACCTGAAATCCAAGGGCAGGCTGTGGAGTCCAGATAGTAGTCACCTTGGGAGGAACCCTAGGCAGGGCTAGTGTTTGGGGACCAAGCCCTGCTTAAGACTATCTCTGTGTTCAAGCGTAGCAGCAGGGAGCAGTGGCACAAAGTGGACGGAGACCTCACCGCTACTTCCTGTACAACTGGCTCTAGCTGCAGTTTCTCCCTTTTTTCCTTATTCCCACAGAATTGGCCCAGAACCTGAGGAGGCTGGAGCAGGGAAGGAGCAGAGGACTCTGTAGGTCTCCAGGCAGAACTGAGATTTTTCTGTGGCCTAGGAGAGACCACTCCCTGTTCCCTGCCTTCCTTTCCCTGGGGAGATAAGCTTCCTGGCCTCTCAGCCTGGCTAGAGGGATTCTGCCTTCACACAAACCCAGCTGGACCCAGCTGAGCACTGACCGAGAACTGATGTATGTGAGAGGGGCCAGTTCTACTTCAGCCACAGCGAGTAGACCTCTGAAGACCCAGGGAACTGAATTGAATACCGTGTTAGGAAGAGGGCCTGCAGCCTCCATGGTCCTTAAGACTTACCACCACCCAGTGTACAGAAGCCTGTCTACCGCCCCGTCTCTCTAGGAAGGCCAGTGCTAAGACTCGTGGGCCATCCACCAGGACTGAGTTCGAGTTACTGCTGGCAGAATGGTGACTGGTCCCTGCAGCCTCCCTTCTGGGCTTCAGGAATCCCCTCCCAGGCTGACTGCCCCACCCTGAGGCTAGTCTGGAATCCTGGTTAGAGGAAAAAGCTGGAAAACAGAGTCATTCACAATGGGCAAAAAGAGGAGGGAGAGGTTTCTGGTTAAGATATGAAAGGAGGAGCCTAAAGAAGGAAGGAAGGAAGGAAGCTCCAAGGCTCTGCCCAGACATCTTCCCTGAGATGCCTAAGGACAAAAGAGGAGCTAGACACAACTCTCCCCATTTTTCCTTTGCTGTCTTAAGAGTGCTCCATCTTCCAGCACTGACTGCCCTCTGTGGCTGGCTCCTTTCTCTACCCTCCCCCTTCCCTAGGCTAAAGGGCCCACAGGGGCTGGAAGGGAGGGAGGCTGAGTGGCTGTGCTGTGGGCCTGCCTGCTCCTTTCCCTTCCCCCTTCCCTTAGCAGCAACGTCACCGCAGCACCAGCAGCCGCGGCAGCAGCACGGAGACTGGGGCTGGGATTGCGCAGCCTCCCTGCATTAGCAACGATGCCATTGTATTAGCAGAAATCAGATCTTAGGAAATCGGCCCAGTTCCCCTGTGTGATCCCGTGGAACAGTGTCTCAGCTGGAACTGTCGCGGTAGAGCTTGGTCGGAGTGCAAAAGGGACAGACGCATCAGGGGTCCAGCTCAAGGCTCCTGACAGAGGTATGGCTCAGGGAGCTGGGGGAGGGGCAGGGCAGAGATGCTAGGATACCGATCAGCACATTTGGGCCCTGGCTTCTGAGGGTTGGCTTTGTCTTTCCAAAAGGGAGAGGGGGGCGGTGCGGGGGGGGATAAAGGGGGGAACATGCGGAAGCACAAGCATTAGACAAGCTCATTGCATACATTTGGGCTATGGTGCAGAGATGGGGAAAAGCCAAGGCTTGGGCTAATGCCATTTATGCTATTTTGTCAAGAAGCAGATCTCATCCTTCCTTTTTGGGCATTTCTAATGAAGCTTCTAGTATGGGTCAGGGATGGGGGAGTCAGATCTAGAAACAAAGGCTTAATAGGAGGAGACACCCCTACAGCTACTGTAAGTTTATGATGGAGAACATGCAAGGATCCTCGCAGCTTTCAAGAGGAGGGCTGGGAAACCTTTCTCTCCACACACACACATACATACATACATGCATGCATGCATGCACATAGCTATACATGCACATAGACACACATACCATATCTTCTGGTGCTATGGGAGCCACCAGGCTCCAGGTAAGGGTGGAGTAAGAAAACATTGACCAGGGTGCCCCACAGTGTCTGGCAGGGGCAGGGACAGTCATTGTAATGCCTAGGGCACCTGATCTGTTACAGTAAGCCTTCAAGAAGAGACCTAAGCATAAGCTAACACTCCCAAATCTACCCTCCTGCCCTCCTCCCTTTGATCCTACCCAGGAGAGGACCAGTCAGGAAAAGCGTTATCAGTCCTACAGAGGCACCTTATCAGGATCTCAAGTCAAGGTCAGATTGCTAGAGAAGAGCAATTGAAGACCATTGTGTTCCCCATCTTTATTCAGAAGGCCAAAAAAGAGGGAAGGGGTTCTATGACTGGCAGAAAGACACTGATGACCAAAGCTAGAGGAAACCTTCTTTCTGGGGTTTTCCCGCCCAGAGTTGCTCCATTGCTGAGCAGGTAGAAAGAGTTCCCTAAATTCCCATTTCCACACCTGTAATCCCAGCACTTTGAGAGGCTGGGATGGGAGGATCACTTGAGCCTAGGAGTTGAGACCAGCCTGGGCAACATGGTGAAACCCTGTCTCTACAAAAAATTTAAAAATTAGCCAGGCATTGTGGTGTGCACCTGTAGTCCCAGCTACTAAGGAGGCTGGGTGGGAGGATCACTTGAGCCCAGGAGTTCAAGGTGCAGTGAGCTATGATCGCATCACTGCACTGTAGCCTAAGCAACAAAGCTAGACTCTGTCTGTAAAAAATAATTGTAAAAAAATTCCCATTTCTAATAACCACCTTGGTAGAGGGTTCAAAAACATAGGATAATAGGAGACAGTAGTGCCATGTTGTGCAACTATATGGTTAAGGAATATGCTGGATAGTTATGGGAGTGTATTTGTTCCCAGGAAGTGTCTAGGAATGTGAACCACAAGAGCAGGGAATAATGAGCCTTGAGACCATGAATGGGGCAGGGAGATGAGGGCTGGGAACTGGGGCAGGAGGTGGGATTGGCAAGTGTTATCATAGCCTGGGGACAGTATGAAAGGGACTGTAGGTTCATAGAATAGAGAGGCCGGTAGACATAACCTGTGTAAATGGAGGCTGAAATGTGGGTCTACCCAGGACAGGTAGGAAGCAGATGCTCTGGGAGCAGAGTAATTGCAAGGACTTTAGGAAGAGGGTGTGGCCCCAATCATTTTCTTTGGAAGGCCGTTGTAGTGGAAATAATTACAAATTGGGCAGACCTGGGATTGAATCCCATCTCAGATGTGTAAATGTGGACAAACTACTTACACACTCTAAGCTTTGGTTTTCTCATCTTTACAATGGGAAGGATTATGCCTACTTAAAAATGTTACAGTACATTTAGAGATGATATATATAAATTAATGGCACATAAGTGTTTAATAAATGATCACTTATAGTATTATAATAGGACAAGAGACACCCATTTGGGACAAGGGCCAGGAAAAGGGCTCTCATAGAAAGCTTTTCCTGATTTTGGAGAGCATGACCTCATAACTTTATACTGGCTGAGCCCACCATTCCACTCTACCTGGTAGGCATAGCTAGAGGGCTCATCTTCTGAAAGAGCTGTCTTCTACTTTCTTCTTATTCTGGATCCTCTGTTTCTCCCCCATCCTCATCTTCCATGTCTCTCCATTTAGTCAGGGCAGAAAAAGTCTGAAATGAGCTCTTCCAGCTCACTGTTTTCTCTTCACCTTCATTAGAGGGGATGGGCCACTTGTCTTGATGTAGAAAAAGTCACTCCCAGGAAAGGAGCCTGAGATACGCTCTCAGTAAATGTTCTCTGTGGTGTCATATGTACAGTTTACTCTCATTTTTTTTTTTTAAGACAGACTCTCGCTTTGTCGCCCAGGCTGGAGTGCAGTGGCACGATCTCGGCTCACTGCAACCTCCGCCTCCTGGGTTCAAGTAATTCTCCTGCCTCAGCCTCCCAAGTAGCTGGGATTACAGGAGCGTGCCACCACACCCAGCTAATTTTTGTATTTTCAGTAAAGACAGGGTTTCACCATGTTGGCCAGGATGTTCTCAATCTCTTGACCTCATGATCCACCTGCCTCAGCCTCCCAAAGTGCTGGGATTACAGGTGTGAGCCCCCATGCTAGGTCTACTCTCATTATATTCTTAACTGACCAAGAAAAAAGATCAAAAGTTAGGATTCCTGAGTCTCATCTTAATTCTGTTATTTATTCACTGAGTGGTCTTGGGCAAGTCATTTCATTTTTCTGGGTGTATAATTATTTTAAAATTTTTATATATATAAAATTTTTTTAAATTATTTTTATATCATATAACATTTTTTAAAATTTTATAAATATAAAAATAATTCCTTATTTTTAAAAATGAAGATGGCTCTGCCTCCTTTGGAAGTTGATGTAAGGATCAGTAAGATATGCATACATAAAAAGTGCCTTGTAAGTAAATGTGAATGGGGTGGGCAAAGCATGAGTACAAAATCTCATGAGATGCCTGGAGAACTTCCCCTTAGATGGCTGAATTGGAATCGTCTATGGAGGAGCCATTGCTCGGCCTTTCTCTTGGTTGTGTGGAGATCAGAAAGGAATAAGATCTTCTCTGAGATACAAAAGCATAAAATAAAATGAAATCAATCAGTGAAAGAGCTTGACAGTTAAAGTAGGATTCAATACAACCTAAATGTAAAAGCTACAACTATACAGCTTTTAGAAGAAAACATAGGTACATTTCTTTATGGTCTTAGGACAGGTAAAGATTTCTTAGGATACAGAAAGATTTAACCATAGAGAAACAAACTCTATGATCAGTTGATCAATTGATCAATTTAAATTTAATAAATTAAAAACTATTTATCAAAAAACACAGTTAAGAAAACAGGGACAAGCCACAGGCTGAGAGAAAATATTCATGAGGCATATATCTGACAGAGGACTTGTATCCAGAATAAATGTTAAAACTCCTATAATTCAATCATAAAAAGACTAACAACTCAGGTTATTTTAATGGGAAAAGTAGTCAACAAATAACCAGGCACCTACTGTGTTCCAAGCACAGAGTTCACTGTATTGCAGTCTCCAACCTCAGAACTGTGCTCCAGTCTGGGAGATAGATATGTCAACATCACATTACAATACAATTGTCAGTGCCCTCCAGCCAAGGGCTCCGTCATCTCCCACGCTCATGTGTTCTTCATCTCTGATTTAGAGAGTCAGCTTTCTGCATTCTGTATCTGTACATCAGTTTTTCCATATTAATGCATGTATGTCCTGGTAATGGTTTTGTGGCAGAATCATACATTCTTTTATGTGATACTTGTGAATGCCTCTTGAAAATGCTTTAAAAAGGAAGAAAAGGTACTCATTGAAGGTCAGTGATGGCTGCAACCCATAGGTACCCCTAAAATTACTGCTATCTATGTAAGAAAGTTCTCTATGCTCCTTTTAGTCCAGACTCGGGATTATGGCCAGGACTCCAGGGGAAACGTAGTTATGTATGAAAGGAGAAACCCCCTCAAAGAAAAAAAATTGTTTAGGCCCGGCATGGTGGCTCACATCTGTAATCCTAGCACTTTGGAAGGCCAAGGCAGGTGGATAACTTGAGCCCAAGAGTTCAAGACCAGCCTTGGCAACATGGAGAAACCATGTCTCTACAAAAAATACAGAAATTAGCCAGGCGTGGTGGCACACACCTGTGGTCCTAGCTACTCAGGAGGCTGAGGTGGATCACTTGAGTCCAAGAGGCTGAGGCTGCAGTGAGCCATGATCGCACCACTGCACTCCAGCCTCGGTGATAGAGTGAGAACCTGTCTCAAAAAAAAGAAAAAAATTGCTTAAATTATGCATAAAATGGGTATTTATTACATACAAATTAGAAAATACAGCTGAAGCAAAAAGAATAAAATTAAAAATAATCCAAATCATTCAACAGTGATAGGCACTGGTAACAGTTTGTTGCATGTTACAGATTTTCTTCTATGCATACAGACATGTTTATTTACAAAAATGGTGACAAACACCTGGCTAATTTTTGTATTTTTAGTAGAGACAGGGCTTCACCATGTTGGCCAGGCTGGTCTTGAACTCTTGACCTCAAATGATCCGCCCGCCTCAGCCTCCCAAAGTGCTGGGATTACAGGCATGAGCCACCACGCCTGGCCTGATTTCAGGACATTCTATTTCTATGGATTTGCCTATTCTGGACATTTCATATAAATGGAATCATACAACATCACAAAAGCCCTTTGTGACTGGCTTCGATTGTGCCCAATTTTTTGGCTACTGTGAATAATGCTGTTATGAACATTTGTGTACAAGCTTTAGTGTGAACATATGTTTTCATTTTTCTTGGGTATATACCCAGGAGTGCAGTTGCTGGGTCATGTGATGACACTATGTTTAACATTTTGATAAACTGTCAGACTTTTCCAAAGTAGCTGCACCATTTTACAATACTCCCGGCAATGTTTCAGGGTTCCAGTTTCTTCATATCATCATCAACATTTGCTAGTTGTTATTGTCTGTATTTCTTATTTTATCCCTCCCAGCTGGAGTGAAGTAGTATCTCATTGTGATTTTTATTACTCTAATGACTAATGATGTTGAACATCTTTTCATGTGCTGGTTAGACACTTGTATGTCTTCTTCAGAGAAATGCCTATTCATACTGTTTGCCCTGTCTTAAACTGGATCATATGTCTTTTTTTTTTTTTTTTTTTGAGACAGAGTCTCACTCTGTCACCAGGCTGGAGTGCTGTGGCATGATCTCAGCTCACTGCAACCTCTGACTCTCTAGTTCAAGCGATTCTCCTGCCTCAGCCTCCCAAGTAGCTGGGATTACAGGCATGCACTACCACGCCCAGCTAATTTTTATATTTTTAGTAGAGATGGGATTTCACCATGTCGGCCAGGATGGTCTCTGTCTCCTGACCTCATGATTCTCCCACCTCGGCCTCCCAAAGTGTTAGGATTACGGGCGTGAGCCACTGTGCCCAGCCTCGTATGTCTTTTTATTGTTGAGTTGTAAGAGTTCTTTATATATTCTGATTAGAAGTCTTTTATCAGGTATATGATTTGCAAATATTTTCTCCCATTTTATGGATTGTCTTTTCACTTTCTTGGTGGTATCCTTTGAAGCACAAAAGTTTTTGGTTCTTATGGAGTCCAATTTATGTTTTTTCTTTTGTCACTTGTGCCTTTGGTGTCATATCTAAGAAACCATCACCTAATCCAAGATAACAAAGATTTACTCCTATGTTTTCTTCTGTAACCCTTAATCTTGTAGCTCAGACTCTCTTAATATCTGCCCTTCTACATCTCTACCCATTAGCCCATTAAACACACAAAGGCTTGGAAGTTCAACAGAGGAGCCTGCCTTCCTCTCAGAAAGGGGAGGAGGAAGCAAGATTGTAAATAATTGCTGCTTAAATTTAACACAATTATATTTTAATACCTTGTCCCTTATACGTATACTTATTAGCCATATTTTTTATGCATTGTTTGTTCATGTCCTTGAGCATATGTGACTTGCCTCAGACTTTACCACATTCCACATGACGAGCTATGACCCTATGGTCTACATGAGTTAAATTTTAAGAAATTGATTGTGTCAAGGATTCAGTTAAATGATGAATAAGAGAAAGGCAATGAGGGATTTAGACTCAGGGTGAGTGAAAAGGAAATGATAGGAATAAAAAGAGAAAGGAAATGAATGAATTTTGGAACATTACATGTGAGGAGTCGAAGGGAATGAAGACTGTTGCGACCTGAACGTGGAAACACAGGAGACTAGAACTTGAGCAGGCCACACTGCCACGGTGCAGCCAAGAGACCAGAGAAGCTCAGGATGGGTTCTGTGTCCTTGGCACCAGGAGACCTTGAACAAGAGAGAACTTTGCTTTAGCCTATAAGAGGTAAAACTGGGAAGAGAAGACTTTCTAGTGGATCCCAGTAGTGAAGGTTCTAAGCTAAAACTGGGCAGCATTTGGGCACTTCAGGATGTCTGTATCCTGAGCTAGACGCATGTTAAGAATGTATTATGCCTTTCACGTTTATCTTGTGTGATGTGTTAGAATGATACAAAAGACATAAAACTAGGTCCCCCCACCCCCATTGAGGAGGAAGAGGTTGACATCAGTCATACTTGCAGTCACCCTAATGCCCAACTCAGTGTCTGCATTCAAGAAGTTCTAGTATAGTAGTGAGGATAGTAAGGATACTTAGCCCACGGTCATCAGAAAGGGACAAATATTCTGGGGCTTGTAGGACGAGAAAGGGGATCAGAGATAACAGTCACTTGGTCAGATGATACCGTATATTTTAAAATGCTTCTTGCAAAATTATAGCTTATTGCTATGAGTTCATATTATTCATGATTTTCCCTCTTGGCTGTAAACTTGTGTGCTATAGCTGTGTCTAAGCCTTAAACATCCTAGATGGTTTTTTCTTAATTGTGTCATTATTCATAGTTTTTTTGTGCTAAGGACTGGTCATTGTTTACTGCCAAGGAGAGGGTCCTTGAAAGAGAAAGGGAAAGTACTGCCCAAACCTTCATATGTGGCATTAGAAGGACTTGGCCTTTTGTCATAATTTGATGCATAGTGACCTTAAAATTAAGGGGGACCTCAGGTGCTGCACCTGTGCAATGCAGAAAGCATGGTTACGTCCCCACCTGCCTATTGGGCTGTGTGGTCAAGCTCCATCTTGACTCAAGCCTTTTCTCTTCCTGGGCTCTTCTCCATCTGAAAATGATGTAGGGAAGGGCATGCCCCTGACTTCCAGGGAGGTGACATTAGGTTCCCTTTCTTTCCCTCTCTCTCCAGGTGCCAAGCTCTCCTGATGAAATGTGTTCTGCCCCACTGGGCTCCAGGGACAGTGTCTGGTGCTGTTGAAGCCCTTATTCGAACTTTCCAGAATGGATAGTCCCCCAAAGCTGACTGGAGAGACCCTCATCGTTCATCACATCCCCCTGGTGCACTGCCAAGTCCCAGACAGGCAGTGCTGTGGAGGGGCAGGTGGAGGTGGTGGGAGCACAAGACCTAATCCCTTCTGCCCACCTGAGCTGGGCATCACCCAGCCCGATCAAGACCTAGGACAAGCTGACTCCCTGCTATTCAGCAGCCTGCACTCTACTCCAGGAGGAACTGCACGGTCTATAGACAGCACCAAGAGTAGGAGTCGGGATGGAAGAGGCCCTGGAGCCCCCAAACGACACAACCCCTTCTTGCTGCAGGAGGGTGTGGGTGAGCCAGGACTTGGTGACCTGTATGATGACAGCATTGGTGACAGTGCCACCCAGCAGTCCTTCCACCTGCATGGCACTGGCCAGCCCAACTTTCATCTATCCTCTTTCCAGCTGCCACCATCTGGCCCCAGAGTGGGCAGGCCATGGGGGACAACACGCAGTCGGGCTGGAGTGGTGGAAGGGCAGGAACAGGAGCCAGTGATGACCTTGGATACTCAGCAGTGCGGCACCAGCCACTGCTGCCGGCCAGAGCTGGAAGCAGAGACTATGGAGCTGGATGAGTGTGGGGGACCTGGTGGGAGTGGCAGTGGGGGTGGAGCCAGCGATACCTCTGGCTTTTCCTTTGACCAGGAATGGAAGCTCAGTTCAGATGAATCCCCAAGGAACCCTGGATGCTCCGGCTCAGGGGACCAGCACTGCCGCTGCAGTAGCACATCCAGTCAGTCCGAGGCAGCTGACCAGTCCATGGGCTATGTGAGCGACTCCTCCTGCAACAGTTCAGATGGTGTGCTGGTCACCTTCAGCACCCTCTACAACAAGATGCATGGCACCCCCCGTGCCAATCTCAACTCTGCCCCACAGTCCTGCAGCGACTCTTCCTTCTGCAGCCACTCAGACCCTGGCGCCTTCTATCTGGATCTGCAGCCCTCCCCATTTGAGTCTAAGATGTCTTATGAGTCCCATCACCCTGAAAGTGGAGGAAGGGAAGGGGGCTATGGTTGCCCTCATGCCTCTTCTCCTGAGCTTGATGCCAACTGCAACTCCTACCGCCCACACTGTGAGCCGTGCCCAGCAGTGGCTGACCTCACAGCCTGCTTCCAAAGCCAGGCCCGTCTTGTTGTGGCCACACAAAATTACTATAAACTTGTCACCTGTGACCTATCTTCCCAATCATCCCCAAGCCCTGCTGGCTCTTCCATCACTAGCTGCTCTGAGGAACACACCAAGATAAGTCCCCCACCAGGCCCTGGCCCAGACCCAGGCCCCAGCCAGCCCTCTGAGTATTACCTATTCCAGAAGCCAGAAGTCCAGCCAGAGGAACAAGAAGCAGTGAGTTCCTCCACCCAAGCAGCAGCTGCTGTGGGCCCCACTGTGCTTGAGGGACAAGTATACACGAATACTTCACCCCCCAACCTCAGCACTGGACGTCAGCGCTCCCGCAGCTATGATCGCAGCCTGCAGCGCAGCCCTCCTGTCCGCCTGGGCTCGCTGGAACGTATGTTGAGTTGCCCAGTGCGCTTGAGTGAGGGCCCTGCAGCCATGGCCGGGCCTGGCTCCCCACCCAGGAGGGTCACCTCCTTTGCCGAGCTGGCCAAGGGCCGGAAGAAAACTGGAGGCTCTGGCTCGCCCCCACTTCGTGTGAGTGTTGGGGACTCCTCCCAGGAGTTCTCACCCATCCAAGAAGCCCAGCAAGATCGGGGGGCCCCACTGGATGAGGGCACTTGCTGTAGCCATAGCCTGCCACCCATGCCTTTGGGGCCAGGCATGGACCTACTTGGCCCAGACCCAAGTCCACCCTGGTCCACCCAGGTCTGTCAGGGACCCCACTCCAGTGAGATGCCTCCTGCTGGCCTCAGAGCTACTGGGCAAGGCCCCCTGGCTCAGCTGATGGATCCAGGGCCTGCTCTCCCAGGGAGCCCAGCCAACAGCCATACCCAGAGGGATGCAAGAGCTAGAGCTGACGGTAAGGAGCCTAAGGGTTAGCAAATATGTGGCTATTCACCAGCAGGATATGCATGGCCACCTCCCTGACAGGTCCCTGCCAGACCACCCCATCCATACCACTAGAGGTTCCACATCCTAGATCTGTTATCCTTCTAGGCCAGGGCAGGACCCACAGCTACAGTGGAATAGGCTCACTGGAGAAAGACAGAGGACTCAAAAATACACTGAGCAGACTGGGTGCAGTGACTCACACCTGTGATCCCAGCCCTTTGGGAGGCCAAGCCAGGCGAATCACTTGAGGTCAGGAGTTTGAGACCAGCCTGGCCAACATAATGAAACCCCAGCTCTACTAAAATAAAAAATAAACTAGCCAGGAGTGGTAGCACCCACCTGTAATCCCAGCTACTCAGGGGGCTGAGGCAGGAGAATTGCTTGAACCCAGGAGGTGGAGGTTGCACTGAGCTGAGATCATACCACTGCACTCCAGCCTGGGCAGACAGAGTGAGATTCTGTCTCAAAAAAAAAAAATAAATAAATACACTGAGGAGATAAAATCAGCAGGACTTAGAGGCTGACATATTGGGAAATGAAGGATTCAGAAGACTGATTCTGAACCTGGATGATGGGAAAGATGAGGCCATGGATAGGGGCTGTAATCACAGGAGATTTCCTGGAAGAAAAGTTCAGGTTCAGACCTTTAGGAGTTTGCAGTGCCTAAGGGGCAACCAAGGGATATGTCTAACAACAACAACACACACACACTGGGCGTCAGTGAAGTTTTTTTTTTTTTCTTTTTGAGACGGAGTCTTGCTCTTTCGCCCAGGCTGGAGTGCAGTGGCCTCCCTAGGCCAGCTCTTTCCCTATTTATTTTGTTACATTTTAAATAAATATTTTATACCAGTGTGTTAAGGTGGTGCTAGTGACAGAGAGATGAGAGGGATGACTCTGTTTTCAAGGATTCCAGCTAAGGACAGAAACAGAAAACGTAGTTGATCATTAAAATGCAGAGATGGCAGTGTTCCGTACTGGCCAGTGAAAGGGGTATGTAAATCAGACTGAAACGTCAGGGAGGAACTGCTAATGCAGTTACATTTAAGCCCAATCTAGAAAGATGATTAGGATTGGGCTTTGTGACGACTTGTAAGAAGAATGTTCTAGGCTCACAGGATTGTCTGTACAAAACCACAAAGGCACAGAATAGCTTGACCCTTTCTAGGAACTGCATATAATTTGGTGAAGCCATAGTGGAACACAGGTGGAACCACTGAAAAATTTTAGAGAAATGGCTTTTGGCATTTGTTTGTTTTTGTTTGGTTTGGTTTTTCTGTCTGCTTAATTATATGTTTTGATTTGCATTTAGAAAGATCACTGGTTGGTTGTTCCTTCAGGCCTTGTTTAAAAAAAAAGTAATTGGGCTGGGCACAGTGGCTTACACCTGTAATCCCAGCACTTTGGGAGGCCAAGGCGGGCGGATCACCTCAGGTCAGGTTTTCAAGACCAGCCTGGCCAACATGGTAAAACCCCATCTCTACTAATAATACAAAAATTAGCTAGGCATGGTGGCGCATGCCTGTAATCCCAGCTACTCTGGAGGCTGAGGCAGGAGAATCACTTGAATCTGGGATGGAGATTGCAGTGAGCCGAGATCACGCCACTGCACTCCAGCCTGGGCAACAAGAGCGAAACTCCACCTCAAAAAAAAAAAAAAAGTAATTGGATCACTGGTTGTTTGGGTAGAAGATGGACTGGAAGGGGTGTCTTCCTGAAGTCAGGAGAAAGCACTGTGTAGATTGGAAAGTCATTGGAATAAAAGTGGTAGCTGGCACTTGCTGGGCGTGGTGACTCATACCTATAGTCCCAGCACTTTAGGAGACTGAGGCAGGCAGATCACCTGAGTTCGGGAGTTCAAGACCAGCCTGGCCAACATGGTGAAACCCCATCTCTACTAAAAATACAAAAATTAGCCGGGTGTGGTGGTGCACGCCTGTAATCCCAGCGACATGGAAGGCCGAGGCAGGAGAATCGCTTGAACCCAGGAGACAGAGGTTGCAGTGAGCCTAGATCATGCCACTGCACTCCAGCTTGGGAAACAGAGTGAGACTCTGTCTCAAAAATAAAAAACAAAAGTGGTAGCTGAAGCTATGTGTGTGGCTGAGAGAGGATCCAGGGAGAATGTGTTGAGTTATAAAGGGAAGAAGGGGATACTGTGACTTAAGGGATGAGCAGCACCCTCAAAAGAGACAGAAGAATTAGGACAATAGAAGAAAAACCAGGAGAGGCCGGGCATGGTGGCTCATGCCTGTAATCCTAGCACTTCGGGAGGCCGAGGTGCGCGGGTCACCTGAGGTCAGGAGTTCACCAGCCTGACCAACATGGTGAAACCCCATCTCTACTAAAAATACAAAAATTAGGTGTGGTGGCGGGTGCCTGTAGTTCCAGCTACATGGGAGGCTGAGGCAGGAGAATCGCTTGAACCTGGGAGGCAGAGGTTGCAGTGAGCCAAGATTATGCCACTGCACTCCAGTCTGGGTGACAAAGTGAGAGTCCGTCTCAAAAAAAAAGAAAAACCAGGAGAGAGTGAAGTCACAGGAACCAAAGGAGGAGAAAGTTTAAAAAAAGTTTGAACCAAAAGAGTTCTAAAGAGAAATCACCTAAGATAATGAAGAATCCTGAAGGCAACATTCAGGAGTAGTGAGAGTGGAAGCCAGATCTCAGAGGGTTTAGAAGGAAAGGGAGGTAAAGCAGGGATAGCAGAGGCTCACAGCTGTGCTGTAGCCTTAGGTTGGGTCTGTTGGCTTCACAAAAGAAAATGTTTTAAAACCATAAATAATATCTGTGCTGTCAGGGAGATCACAGTCCATCAGAAGACTTCATGTTCCTAACATACACTGAAGAGCTGTCCTTGGGGTGGGCATGGGAGGGAGATCTCTAGGGAAGGGGCAGGATCAGAAACAGCAAGGATTGACTGGGTCCTTTGAACCCACTCCCTTAGACTGCAGTGTCTGTCTGCTGGGTGCATCTCGTGGGATACTATGACTGGCATTCTGAGGGCAAGAAATATCCTGGTCAGAGATGTGTTTTCTCTATCAGATTAAGACATATCAACATGCTGCTCTGTTCCATAAGTCTCCAGTCTTCTCTTGATTCTGTACAGCTTTTTTCTAAATCAAAAATGAATGACAATTCATCAAGCTTTGAATGACAAAAGAAGGGACAGGTTGATCCAATCTAGGAATGACAGTATAGGAAGCTGAGAAGGTCGGCTGGGCATGGTGGCTCACACCTATAATCCCAGCACTTTGGGAGGCTGAGGCAGGAGGATCACTTGAAGCCAGGGGTTTGAGACCAGCCTGGGCAATATAGTGAGACCCTGTGTCTACAGAAAAAAAAATTTAAAAACAGCTGGGAGTGATGGCACATGCCTGTAGTCCTAGCTACTCGGGAGGCTGAGGCAGGAGGATCGCCTGAGCCCAGGAGTTTGAGGCACAGTGAGCTATGATTGCACCACTGCATCCCAGCCTGGGCAAAAAGTGAGATCCTGTCTCTAAAAAAAATTAAAGTAGGCCAGGTGTGGTGGCTCATGCCTGTAATCCCAGCACTTTGGGAGGCTGAGGTGGGGAAATCATTTGAGGCCAGGAGTTCGAGACCAGCCTGGCCAACATGGAGAAACCCCATCTCTACTAAAAATACAAAAATTAGCTAGGCATGGTGGCGCACGCCTGTAGTCCCATCTACCCGGGAGGCTGAGGCACAATAATCGCTTGAACCTGGAAGGCGGAAGTTGCAGTAAGCTGAGATCACGCCACTGCACTCCAGCATGGGTGACAAAGTGAGACTCTGTCTCAGAAAAAAGTAAATTAAAAAATAAAAATAAAAAAGGCAGCTGAGACGGCTCTTTGAGATACTGAGCAGCAGAATCAAGATTTAAAGGGATCTTACTGAATCTTGAAAGAACAAAACTAATAAAGCAGAGACCAATGTGAAGTTTGATATGTAACCTGCACTTGAGTTGATTTGGGATATTTGATTGCAAACTCAGATTGAGTCAGCAGTTGGTAGAGCTTCCAAAAAGTTAAGATGACTGGATTCATTCATAGACTCCAGAAAGAAAGAGTGGATAGTCTCTCACTCCTCCGAACCAGTGAGTGCTCAGTGGTATTCCATTGAGTTCTGGGTACCACATCTTAAGAAGGAACTGAGGAACTGGGGGACTGGGGCTATTTAACCTAGAGAAAAACTGACTCGGGTGAATACGGTCTCTGTCTCTGGTTTTCTTAATGAATGTCACATAGAAAAGTGAGAAAACTTATTCTGTGTATTCCCTGAGGGTAGAACTAAGACCCATTCCCCACAGGGGCCCCCTTCTTACCTGATCTTATTCCTCTGCCTCAGTCTGTATCCTGGGAACTTAGCAGAGAGGAGTTTTAAAAGGGTAGGAATAAGCAGTCTAATTCAGACATACTTTGTATAGGGGGTATAATAATGCTGTGGTTGGGATGACCTAATCCGATAGCCAGAGTCAGCTCAGCCTTGAAAACTGATACTTAAATAGGCGGAAAGGAAGGACACATTCCTGATGGGAAAAGCAGTGGGCTTCATGACAGGGATGGACTGGGAAGAGTAGGGTCAGTGGGGGCAGGTGTGGAAGTCTGAAGGGAGAGCAGCCTAGCTCGTAGCAGGTGTGGGCAACTAGCTCACTGAGAAGATTAGACTTTATTCTGGGAGATAAAATTTGTATCTCAGAAGCTAGTTGGTGTATGTAAGAAGCTTCTGGTTGTAGTGAGACTGGCTTGAATCAAGAGTGACCGTGGAGATTCCCTCATTTAACAGATGGTTTTTCACTCCATACTGTGTGCCAGCCTCTGTTCCAGGCATTATGGATCCAGCAGTGAACAATATAAAATCCCCACTTTTCTGGAGCTCTTAGGAGCAGTAATGGACAATAAACACATTAAAAGGACAACTTTTAATTGCTGGAAAGTTCAACAATGCTGAAAAGAAAATGAAACAGGGTAATGGGATAGAGAGCAACTTGCCAGAGGGGCTGACGTAGTCAGAGAAGGTCTTATTGAGGGGGTGATATTTGAGCTGATGCCTGAATGGTGAGAAGATTCAGACAGAAAGAAAAGCAGGTGCAAAAGGCCCGGAGATGTTCATGCATCTGGTGTGTTTAAGGACGGGGAAGTGTGGCTGGAGCACAGTGGGCCAGGGAGAATGCAGAGTCTGTGTAAGCAGTGACTGGGTATAGCAGGAGGGTGGAGCTTGAAAGTGTCCCCTGGGAGTGATTCAGAAGCACCTCCCTAATGGGATTGTGGTCCCCATCCCCTCTGACTCTTTGATGTAAATAAGATGAGGGATAGGAAAACCTGGCCTGATACAATTTCACATGTAGTACAATGTGGTAAAAAGAACAGTGGCTCTGAAATCAGACTCTGGGTTAGGCAGAATTCTAGCTCTGCCACTTCCTAGTTGTTTGACCTTGAGCAAGTGCTTTAATCTGTCTACATTTCACATTTCCTAATATGTCAAGTAAGAGAACTAATTCCCGCCTCGCAGAGCTACTGAGCCCCACTGCTGGTGAGCTTTCACCAGGGCTTTAGGCCGGGTGCGTGCTTATAGCGCCATCTTACGTTTATTCGGAGATCTACAGTGTTTTGTTGGAAGTGCAGTCCATCCACTGTCCCACTCCAGTGTCCTGGAGTTTTGTGTTTAGTTCTGAGCACCACGTTTTGAAGGACATTGACCTGAAGACTGCCTGAAAGAACAGGAGAGGCCCAGCCTTGGGGAACATACCTCCGTTCAGGGGGAGCAAATGTGGACTCTGAGGTTCCAATGCCAGGATCGTGAAAAGAGTGGGAGTGGGGGTAGATACAGATAACAGGTAGGCTGCAAGTAAAGAAATATCTTACTATGGTTCGATATGCTCAGGAATGAAATGTGCTGGCATGATTGGAGATGGGATAATGAGCAAAAGCTTGAAGTCAGTAACATCTGAAACATTTTCATCACTGAAAATGTGTGTGACTGTGACTCCAAGACTTAGAAACAAAGAAAATGGTTCTGCCATTGATAGAAATGGAAGTCATCGGAAAAAAGGAGAAAGGTGATGGATAAGCGGTTATAGCACATTTTAAGTGAAAGCAGAACTATAAAGCAGAATGATCTGGAGATGAAGAGGAAGGTCCAGGCTAAAGCTGTGGGTTTGGGAGTCATCCCGTAGAAGTCTGAACTCAAAACTTCTCAAGAAATAAAGTGTAAGGTGAGATGCAAGAGTTGAGCCTTAAGATACACTCACCTTTGGAGTCAAGAAAATGAAGAGGGACTGAACAGCAGAGAGGTACAAGACAGTCCAGCACCATAAAAGCAATAGGAAGCGTTTTACAAAAGAGGGGAGCAGTGTCCCATTCCACGAACTTCTACCCCATTCAATTCCTGCCAGCCAGGTCCCTGCCCCTCTCCCCTCTCCCATCTCTGCTTCTGGGTTTTCTCTCATATGGGTTTCAGTGTCTGTCTACTGATTTCTTCTCCATCCCTTTGCTACAGGGGGTGGCACCGAGAGCCGACCAGTCCTTCGCTACAGCAAGGAACAGAGGCCAACCACACTGCCCATCCAGCCCTTCGTGTTCCAGCACCACTTCCCCAAGCAGCTGGCCAAGGCCCGGGCCCTCCACAGCCTTTCCCAGCTCTACAGCCTCTCAGGCTGCAGCCGTACACAGCAGCCTGCCCCACTGGCTGCCCCTGCTGCTCAAGTCTCAGTCCCAGCTCCCTCAGGGGAACCGCAGGCATCCACTCCCCGAGCCACTGGCAGAGGTGCCAGGAAAGCTGGGTCTGAGCCAGAGACCTCTCGGCCATCGCCCCTGGGCAGCTACTCCCCCATCCGGAGTGTTGGCCCCTTTGGGCCCAGCACTGACTCTTCTGCCTCCACTTCGTGCTCCCCTCCCCCAGAGCAGCCCACAGCCACAGAAAGCCTGCCCCCATGGAGCCACTCCTGTCCTTCTGCTGTCCGGCCTGCCACCTCCCAGCAGCCGCAGAAGGAGGATCAGAAGATACTGACCTTGACTGAGTACCGGCTCCATGGAACAGGAAGCTTGCCGCCTCTGGGCTCCTGGCGATCTGGCCTCAGCCGAGCAGAGAGCCTGGCCCGGGGAGGTGGTGAGGGCAGCATGGCCACCAGGCCCAGTAATGGTACGAGCTCCAGCATCTCCCTACCCAACCCGCCACCTCACGCAAGCACTTCCACCACCTCCCCTTTGAGTGGTTGCTTACACTCTCACCTGGGGCCAGAGGTTAGGATGTCTGCATCCCTCCCTCAGCATCTGTAGATAATATCCACAGATAATCTAGTGTTTCATATGGGCCCACTGGGTGGATGTGAAACTCTGTCTCGCTGTCTCCTGCCAACTCTTGTCTTTCTGCTAATCTGTTCTGCTTCCAGCCAACCACCTATCCCCTCAAGCCCTCAAGTGGCGGGAATACAGGAGGAAGAACCCACTAGGGCCACCTGGTTTGTCAGGGAGCCTAGACCGAAGATCACAAGAAGCTCGGCTGGCCCGAAGAAACCCTATCTTTGAGTTCCCTGGCTCCCTCAGTGCTGCCAGCCATCTGAACTGCCGGCTGAATGGTGTGTGAGCAGGGTCCCCAGTACACCCGGGGCAGGCTCTGCCATGGCTGGAAAGGGCTAGAGAAGGGGTCAGTCCCAAAGGAACGTGTCTCAGACGGTACGAGGCACTGAACTGGCCTGGAACTCCTGCACTGAGAGTTGCTCAGGATTGATTTTTCTCTTCTTTCCAGGCCAAGCAGTGAAGCCGTTACCACTGACCTGCCCTGACTTCCAGGACCCCTTTTCCTTGACGGAGAAGCCTCCAGCTGAGTTTTGTCTGTCCCCAGATGGCAGCTCAGAGGCCATTTCCATTGACCTGCTTCAGAAAAAAGGTGCATACAACCCCCAGCTCAGGCCAGGGACTCTGCTGTCACTACCTCCTCACACTTGCCCTACTACCTAGCCAGTCTGAAACCTCTAAGTGCTGGCTGGGCCCAGTGGCTCACGCCTGTAATCCCAGCACTTTGGGAGGCCAAGGCAGGTGGATCATGAGGTCAGGAGTTCGAGGCCAGCCTGGCCAACATGGTGAAACCCCATCTCTACTAAAAACACAAAAAAAAATTAGCTGGGTGTTGTGGTGGGCGCGTGTAATCCCAGCTACTCGGGAGGCTGAGGCAGGAGAATTACTTGAACCCAGGAGGTGGAGGTTGCAGTGAGCCAAGATCACACCATTGCACTCCAGCCTGGGCAACAAAACTGAAAACTCCTTTTCAAAAGAAAACCACAAACAAATCTCCAGGTGCTGGGAAGGTGTTGGAGCACACAGGCTCTGGGGCCAGAGGAGGAAGCTGTGTGCTGTGTATCATGAGTGCATGTGAGTGAGCAAGGGTCATTCATCAGAGGCTTTCAGAGTCACGCTCCGGTCCCTTCCTGCAGTGAGCAAAGTCTCATGAGGAGGCTTCCATGTCATCAAAAAATGCCTCAGTGCTCTTGGAGGGGGCGGGTGAAGGTACTAGAGGGCCCAGCAGCTTGGGTAAGAGTGTTGGTGACATCTAGTAAGATGAAGATTGACAAGACCCACACTATTTAGCAAATAAGTGACCACTGAACTAAGAACATTTTTAGGGAGATGGAGAGAACTGAGCATAATTGTGGGCTGAAGATGAGCCTGTGAAGAGAGAGCTGAAGTTCCTTGCAAAGGCAGAAGGGGAGAATCAGAGCTCAGGGAGAAAGAACCCGGGCAAGAAGGGAAACGGCCACCTTCCTCCAGGACGCGAAGGGGATGCAAGTGGGCAGGGGAGTGAGGGGTGTACATATGAGATTGTTATGGATTTTGGAGGTAGAGGGAAGTTAAAGGAGTTTATAACTAGGGAACTCTGTTCTCTGAAGCAGAACCAAGGGCTTGAGAGGAGGGGTGTCGATTTCACATGGCAACTTGAGGGTATGGCAGAGAGTGCTGACAAGCCATGTGTCAAAGAACCGCCCTTGTCTGGCACTGGCACTGGGGTGAGGGACTTGGGTTTTCTTCAGGTCAGTGGCCCGGTTTCTCAGAGTGGAGAAAACCGATAGTTGGCCTGACCCAGGATTGGAATAAGGGCTGAGAGGTAAGGACATTGAGAGGCTTGACAGTGGCATCACTGAGGTAGCTCCAGGCTGGGAAGTAAAGACAGGAAGAGCTTAAGAACTGGGCAGAACCAGAAAAGGGCCAGGCCTGAATGTTTTGATAAGACCCATGTGCAGATGTGGAGACGGAGTAAGTGTGGGAGCCCTTTCCCTGAGGAAACCTGAGGTTTCAGCCCCAGCTGAGTTGGTTAAGGACTTGCTCAGGGACCTGTCACATCACATTCTTCCCTGCAGGGCTGGTAAAAGCTGTTAACATCGCTGTGGACCTCATTGTGGCTCATTTTGGCACAAGCCGGGATCCCGGGGTGAAGGTAGGCAAGGAAATGTGGAGAGCTGAGCTCTGCCTGCAAGCCCTCACCTGTCCCGCGCTACCACCTTCCCTTGCTGTCTTGCATTTAGAGCCCAGGGTTGGGTACTTAGGAATGGGGACGGCAAGAGGGGAACCATGAGGGCCTGCTACGAGAGGACCACAGTCAGGCCTGAGGGGGTTTCCTGCACTTCCCTACCACACCTACAGGCAAAGCTGGGAAACAGTTCTGTGAGCCCCAATGTGGGCCACCTGGTTCTGAAGTACTTGTGCCCTGCCGTCCGCGCCGTGCTGGAGGATGGGCTCAAGGCCTTTGTACTGGACGTCATCATCGGGCAGCGTAAGAACATGCCATGGAGTGTGGTTGAGGCTTCCACACAGCTAGGTAGGTGCTGGGTGCCAAGACGGGGACCCAGGGCTGAATTTAGGGCTCCAGAAATTGGTCATGTGACCTGCAACCCTGGCTTCCTCCCAGGCCCATCCACCAAGGTCCTGCATGGCCTCTACAACAAAGTCAGCCAATTCCCAGAGCTCACCAGTCATACCATGCGCTTCAACGCCTTCATCCTCGGCCTGCTCAAGTGAGTGCACAGAGCAGCAAGATCCCCTAAACAACTTGCCCTGCCCCCCACCCCCGGGCTCTGCCTGCACCAAGGAAACAACGCCCTGGACAGACAGAAAGGGTGGATCTGGAGGGTCCCCTCAGCCCGCTATGGCCTCTCAGTAGGTCACTGCCTCCCCACTGTGCCCATGACTCTGTCACTGGTCACCAACGTGGTCTGCTTTTACAAATCTGTAATCTGGCTTATTTGGAAATTAGTTGGGTTTCTTAATTTCTCTGGACCTTGTAAACCCTGATCCTCTCCATTCCAGCACTACTTCCAAATCCTGCTTGACCCTAAGTCCACCTTGGGACCCACATCCTAGTAACATGCTTTCTCAGGTATGGGCCCAGGCCATTCCCTTTGGCCCTGAGCTGCCTGTACTTTCACACAGTAGCTGCCTTGATTTCTTAGGTCTACTGCAGGCTGACTCCACTCCAGGAGGAAACAATTGGCTTGTAAATCACATGTCCATCTCCCTCCACACATCCCCACTGACTTTCTGGAATTAGGTGAAATGAATCGTGCCATGGAAGGGCGTGTTCACCTATTCTTCCTGTGCCTGACCCCCTGGATCTGTCTCCTTATCTGGCTGTATTCACACAAGACTCAACTCTCTTCACCTGTCTCCCTACAGCATCCGGTCCCTGGAGTTCTGGTTTAATCACCTCTATAACCACGAAGGTAATGCCTAGAACCCTGCAGGTCAAACTCAATGGGTCAGAATTCAGAGGCACAAAAGAGGAAGGAAGAGCTGTCTTTTCATTGCTGGAGGTGGGGAGGGGGACCACACAAGCGTTCATCCTCAGAGCCTCAGGCTTCCACCCAAGGCCTTCCCCAGCCTCTGCTTGAGTTAAAACCTTGGGCCAGGCATGGTGGCTCATGCCTGTAATCCCAGCACTTTGGGAGGCCGAGGCACGTGGGTCACCTGAGGTCAAGAGTTTGAGACTAGCCTGGGCAACATGGTGAAACCCCGTCTCTACTAAAAATTCAAAAATTAGCCGGCTGTGGTGGCGCATGCCTGTAGTCCCAGCTACTCGGGAGGCTGAGGCACGAGAATTGCTTGAACCTGAGAGGCAGAGGTTGCAGTGAGCCGAGATCATGCCACTGCACTCCAGCTTGGGCAACAGAGTGAGACTCAGTCTCAAAAAACAAAACAAAAAACCTTGGAGCCAGCAGGATACTCTAGCAATCTGGGAGTTAGGGTGGCCAGGAATCCCTGCATCTCACTCCTCTAAACTCAGGGCCACCGCCTGGGGTTGGAGAGTTTAGGCACTGCACAGCTGTGGGCAGCAGCGTTTATACTTAGTACATGCAAGTTGACTAGTGCACAGCCTGCACCGCTGTCTGCAGCAGCTCTGCCCAGACTGTCTTTCAAAGTCCCACTTGGGCCAGGCTCTGGTTCTCTGTGTGGATCAGTCCCTCTCTCTTTTCCCCTAGACATCATCCAGACCCACTACCAGCCCTGGGGCTTCCTGAGTGCAGCTCATACCGTGTGTCCCGGCCTCTTTGAAGAGCTGCTGCTGCTGCTACAGCCCCTGGCCCTGCTGCCCTTCAGCCTCGACTTGCTGTTCCAGCACCGGCTGCTGCAAAGTGGGCAGCAGCAGCGGCAGCACAAGGAACTGCTGCGGGTGTCCCAGGACCTGCTGCTGTCTGCCCACTCCACGCTGCAGCTGGCCCGGGCCCGGGGCCAGGAGGGCCCTGGAGACGTGGACAGGGCAGCCCAAGGGGAGCGGGTGAAGGGTGTGGGTGCCTCAGAAGGTGGAGAAGAGGAAGAGGAAGAAGAGGAGACAGAAGAGGTGGCAGAGGCAGCCGGGGGCTCAGGGCGTGCCAGGTGGGCCCGAGGTGGGCAGGCCGGCTGGTGGTACCAGCTCATGCAGAGCTCCCAGGTCTACATCGATGGCTCCATTGAGGGTTCCAGGTTCCCTCGTGGTAGCAGCAACAGCAGCAGCGAGAAAAAGAAAGGGGCAGGAGGTGGGGGACCTCCCCAGGCTCCACCACCCCGAGAGGGAGTAGTGGAGGGGGCTGAGGCCTGCCCTGCCTCTGAGGAGGCCCTGGGCCGGGAAAGGGGCTGGCCCTTCTGGATGGGGAGCCCCCCTGACTCTGTGCTGGCCGAGCTGAGGCGCAGTCGGGAGAGGGAAGGGCCCGCTGCCTCGCCAGCAGAAAATGAGGAAGGGGCCTCAGAGCCTTCACCTGGAGGCATCAAGTGGGGACACCTCTTTGGCTCCCGAAAAGCCCAGCGGGAGGCCCGGCCCACAAATAGGTGAGAGCCTGCCCATGGTAGGGATGGAGGGAGTAGGGAGCCTGCTGTAAGCCAGGGCACGGGCAGAGCCCATCCTGGGCAGAGCCTGAGTCCAGCTGCTGTCCCTAGGCTCCCCTCGGACTGGCTGAGCCTGGACAAGTCCATGTTCCAACTAGTGGCGCAGACAGTGGGTTCCCGCCGGGAGCCAGAGCCCAAGGAGAGCCTGCAGGAGCCACACTCCCCAGCCCTGCCCTCCAGTCCTCCGTGGTAAGCCTGGGGAAACGGAAGGGCTGAGGGGGGCGGGGGGCTTTTGAGGGGGTTTCTCTGACCTCCATGTGCTGTTTCCCCAGTGAGGTGCAGGCACTGTGCCACCACCTGGCCACCGGCCCTGGACAGCTGAGCTTCCACAAAGGAGACATCCTACGAGTGCTGGGGCGAGCTGGAGGAGACTGGCTGCGCTGCAGCCGTGGCCCCGACTCTGGCCTGGTGCCCCTGGCCTACGTGACATTGACCCCAACTCCAAGTCCAACCCCTGGAAGCAGCCAAAACTGAGGCCCTGTGCATGCTGGTGGCCTCAGGGACCCTCATAACCCCCAGACTCAGAGCCCGAGAGCCCTTCCCAAGCCATTGGCTTGGCTGCAGAGTAGACTGAGAGCTGGGGCCACGTATCCCTGTGCTGGCACCTGCTCCCTGTGCTCAGTATTAATTACGCCCCCTTAACTGTCCCAGTGACCTTGTCCAGACCTCCACCCAGGAGAGGGATGGGACACAGCACTGGGCTGCCAGGATTCCCCTGGCCCGTCTGGGCCAACCCTTCCATGGGTGAAGACAAGCAAGTCCCCCTGGAGGCGGGTGGCCCAGAAAGCCATCTACAGGGTTCCCTAGGCCAGGTGGAGATGAGGATGGGTAACAGTATTGGGGCCAGATCCCTAAGCCCCCCAGCTGTAAATAGGCTGTGGCCAGTGCCTGGTCATCAGAAGAGGGAGGAGGAGCCCAGGCGTCTGTTTATGTATTTATTTATTTATTTATTATACCTATTAATAAAAAAGGTGCTCAGCCTCCAAACCATTTTCTCTTTGTGTTCCCCCACCCTCCCACCCTCCCACCCACCTCTCTCCCTTCCAAAAGGATGGCTGGGATAGGATGAAAAGGGAAGGGAACTTGATGTCCAGTGGCCTAAGCCAAGAGCTGCTTCTGGAAGGTGCTGAGGCCCAGAGCATCATGGGTGAGATGGCCAAATGTGTGGCCAAACTGGAACTTATACCCTGTGTGGCCAAGAGAGTCTGTCACATGTAGCAAGTGGCATGGCAAAGCCATTTAATTCTCAGCCAGTTGGCTAGACCTCCAAACAGCCCTCTAAAATCTGGCCCTAATTCCCCACTGTGGGTAGCTACCTCGGTTTCCTTTTCTGCCTGATAATAAAGCTGAACCACATGATCTGAGCCCTCCCATATCTATTAGTTTCAACCCCCACAAACCACCCAACCCACCCCATACCCATACAAACAAACATTCCAGTCCCCAAAGCCTCCCCGGGGGCTCTTCTCACCTGGCACGTAGCCCCCATAGTTAGGTAAAAGACCCAGGTTCTGAGGGTATGTTCTGGGAAGTGGGGGGAGATGTTTGGGGTCCTGGGCACTGCCTGGTGAGTGCTTCTGCCCAAATTCCTGCAGTGCCTGGTTGGTGAGCACAGGAAAGCTGGAGCCGAAGAGGAAGCGGGCGCAGGGCACATAGCCAGTGAAGCCTGAGGATGGGGACACTGAGCCAAGGCATCCTGGGGCCTCCCCACGCCTCTGATCCTGACCCCCCAGCTCTCACCTGACATGAAGAACTTCCGAGGGTCCCTGTCATCCATGGAGTAGGGAGAAGCCTGTGAGAGAAGCCCCTGTGCTGTCACACAATCTCCCAAGGAGGTGGAGCTGACAATCAAGTGCACATCCCCTGAACCCACAGCCACACTACTCATGCTGCCCCCACTGCCCGGACACACAGTAAGACCCCCACTCCCACACCTCTGCACTCCCCACCAGCTTCTTGGTCTCACTTGTTCCACCACCTCCAGTGTCGGCTCCTCCAGCTGCCCCTCCGGCTCTGGCACCTGGTCCTTCTCTGTGTCCTTTCTTCCCTTGGCCTCCTTTGGTAGCTCTTCACTCCCTTGCTTTTCATGCAAGTGAGTAAAGTCACTCAGAGCCTCGGCCCAGACCTGGCTGCAGTTCTTGGCAAAGATGAACTGTGCCCGGGGTACAAAACCTGGGCAGGCAGGGACAAGGAAGACTCGTTAGTGTTTGGAACACATGCTCCTGGGAGGGGCACCTGTGCATACCTGCGTACAAACCTGTGTACCCAGGGATCATGCTGGAGCTGAGCCTTTCTTGCCCACGCCTGACAGGTAGACTCTCCCTGGGAACCTCAGGAGATCTTGGAGGCCGAATGGGAGGCAGAAGTGTGCGGTGGACAGGGGGCCAGGCTAGGCCAGGAGGGCCTCGAAGTAGCTGACCAGTCACCTGCCCATAGGTCTGGCCCACGCTGAACCGAAGTAGTGGGCAGTGTCCAGTGTACCTGCAGCACAGACTCTCCCACTCACCAGAATCGCCCTGCCCCGCCATCCCCAGAGGCAGAAGCGGAGACCTCTGAAGCCCTGATCTTTCTGGACTCAGCAGTGTATATATTTGGAGCAGGCATTTCTAAGTTCTCTGCCTGGGCTTTCGATCCTTCCTCTGCTGTTACCCTGTTCCCATGGAGAGAACAACACAAAGCTTTGGGGCAGACCCGGTGTCTCACTAGTCCCTTGCTTCTCCTTTTCCATCCACCACCATAGAGACCTCAGCCTCCCAAACCAACCTGTCCGCTTGGCCCCATGCTCTAAGCAGCTTAATTCCTCCACCCTATACCCCTACTCCCAGCAGCAAGCGGGGAGCGCTAAGTGGGAGTCTTACCCTGGGATATAATGAGGGTTCTGAGGGTTGAGCCCTGGTATGAAGGTGCTGGCCACAGCCATGGGGAGCCGGGCATTTCCTTTTGTTTGCCTTTGAGCCAAGGCTCTGGTCTGTGTGTACCGTGTCCAGGGCTGTGGGGCTAGAGGAAGGAGGCGGGGCTAAGGGAGGAGAGAAGGGAGGGGGCACTCGTGTGAGGACAGCCAGGGCGAAGGCCGGCAGAACTGTAGAGCAGAGGCTAGCAGGTCTGTCTGTCCAGGACAAAGGTGGTCCTGCTCGTGGGGCAGGGCCCGAACCGAAGGAAGCCCTGAGGTGGGACGTGGGAGGTGGGACGTGGGAGGTGAGGGAGCAGAAACCATTCGGGCCACTGAGCTCTGTCTCAGCGACTTCCTTCCTGAGCGCCTGCCTGAGAGGTGGACACTGTGTTCCTCATGAGTCTTCATCAAAGGAGATGGGGGACCTGGAGAAAGGATCTTTGAGGGAAGCCAGGGCCCAGAGGGGAGGTGAAAGAGGACAGGTGATGGGGGAAAAAAAGGAACCTAGACACCTCTAGGGAGTAACATCGTTTATTTTCAATAATTTAACAAGAGTGGCTTACTGAATACCTGCTATAATCAGAGTCATCCATTCAACAAATGAGCCAGGCTCTGCCAGGCTCCGGCCACAGTGGCCGAGTGTGCACTCCATGGGAGCCAGAAAAGCTGTGGGGGTTGAGGGAAGGAAACAGGATAAAGTTGTTGTAGGTGTGGGCGGTAACACTAGGGAGCAAGTTAGAATTTGTTAAAAAAATAAAATAAAATAAAAAATTCGGATTCTAAGAGAAGAAAAAGCACAGACCAGGAAGATGAGATCTCAGAGGACGGGGAAACATGTTTAAAACCCAACTCTGGGCCGGGTGCAGCCACGCTCACATCAACGTACTGAGGAGGCTGAGGTGGGAGGATCACTTGGGTCCGGGAGTTTCAGTCCAAACTGGGCAACACAGCCAGACCCCACCTCAAAAAACAAAACAAAACAAAAAGTTCTGGGGCTGGGTCAGGGCCAGGCTGAGGGCTCAGGGCCCACGTTTCTGAGGCAGAGCTCTGCTCTTCTCCCCACCTCCAGTGACCATGCCTGCGCTGACCAAGGACGGCACTGACATCCCAGGGGAATTACATAAGAGCACTGGGCTCCAAGGCACACATTTCATGTTCCTCACTGTTCTGCCAAGGACAGCCTTAGAATGTGTCATTTAGAGTTGTGGGGACTTACCTCACAGCTGAGGAAATATGTTAGAGTGAGGATGGGAGCCGAGGGGCAAGCCCAGAATAGCAGCAGTGTGTCAAGCTTAACAACCAGACTTGGGATTCTGTGACAGACACTATCACAGCTTATACCTATTCCTGACCCCCATCTCCTTTCTTCCGAGGAGCCAGAAACTGCATCAGGGAGGCTTGGAGAGCCAGCCTGGAGGAATGAGCTGGATTAGTCTAAGCGTGGTCCCATGCTCCTTCCCCATGACCGCTTAGGCACGGGCTTCCAGCATTCTGGATAATATGAGGGGAAATCTGCTGGGGCAGGGGAGGGTCCTGGGAAAAGTTTCTTTGCTCTTAAAGAAAAGATTCACATCAAATTAGAGCAAGTGAGAGAGACAGAGATGCGCAAGACGAAACGATGTCCATTCCTGCCCCTAGACTTTTGGGGGATGTGAGGCTGGAATGCTGGCAGGCATGTGGAAGCCTTGTGGAAAGCTAACCTGAAGACAAGTCCTGGACACATCAAGGATGGATGGTAGAGGAGAAAGGCCAGGGTCCTGAGGGTAATGTAGAGCCATGGAATTAATCAGCCTTTTTATGTCAAATAGTAAATTTCATTATTAAGGCCACTTTAAGTTTTCTTTCACTTACAGCCAAAGGCATCATAACTTTAAAAAACAAAACAGCCAGGCACGGTGGCTCACACCCTTAATCCCAGCACTTTGGGAGGCCGAGGCAGGAGGATCACAAGGTCATGAGTTCGAGACCAGCCTGGCCAACATAGTGAAATCCTGTCTCTACTAAAAATACAAAAATTAGCCAAGCGTGGTGGTGGGCACCTGTAGTCCCAGCTACTCAGGAGGTTGAGGCAGGAGAATCACATGAACCCAGGAGGTGGAGCTTGCAGTGAGCTGAGATCGCACATTGCACTCCAGCTTGGGCAACAGAGTGAGACTCCGTCTCAAAAACAAAACAAAACAAAAAAACACCACTAGATCAAATCCTAGCTTCACCAGAGATATAGACTTTGTCCAAATTCATCTCATTGAGCCTCAGTTTTCTCATCTGTAAAATGGAAAAACTAATGTTACCATCTCATAGAGTAGGATATCAGCTAGCTGAGATGATACACAATGAGCAATGACCCCAGCGTCTAGCTTACGGTAAGTGCTAACTAAACAGCAATTCACGGCTAGCATTTGGCAGGAATGGGAGGAAGGAAAGGAGCTGGGAGCAGTCACAGATGTTAGAGGTTCAGGGGAAAGGTTCATGAAATTGAAAAAGGGAAAGGTTTGAATGGAAGTTGGGGTATAAATTAGGATGTAGGGACTAGAACACATTCTGCAGAAAAGACCATGGCAGTTAGAATCCGGGTATGCGTTAAAACACAAGTTAGGAAACAGATTAGGATTAGTCTTAGGTTTATGGCTTATGAAGAAACAGCTCTATCCAATTGGTAGAATGGCCTGTTACTATGATTGTTTCCATCTGAATAAAGAATATTTCTAGATCCCTGAAGGGTGTTCTAATCTGAGAAAGGAGTGACGGGGCCAGCTGAGGCACCACAGGAATGCTTGCTGCCTCTGTGCCTCCTTCCAGGGACAGACATCACAGAAACATGACCACAACTTGCTCTGATGGGAGCTGCCACACCCAGTGGCCAGTGTTGGATGTGGCAGTGGAGAGAAAATGTTTAACTGGAGACAGCGCCCCACTCAGTCCACACAGCCTGCTGGGTCCCCACAATGGCAGCCTATAGCCTTCTGTTCTGCCTTTGATTCTGACCAGGAACTGCTATAAAATTTCATACAGATCCCAAATCAATCATTTGATTGTATGTCAACCCTAGGCAAGCATAAATCCCCTCTGCAAGGATGAATAAAAGAAAATCACAGGACCTTTGAAAAAATTCCTGAAATCAACAGTCCACCAAAATTGAAACAAGAATTGAATAAACTCCAAAAGATTACATGCAACACAAAACCTTTTTTAGTTTGAAAAATACATGCAGATGCATAAAACTGCATAAAAAGGAAAGCAAGGGAATGATAAAAATGGGTTTCAAATGCTCACCTCAGATGGTGAGAAACAAAAGGGGTGGGAAAGGGGGAACCACATAGTTAGATGTATGTTATTGTCAAAGTTTCAGTTTTTGTTTGGGATGATGTTTTCAAAAATGCTTATAATGGGCCAGGTGCAGTGTCTCATGCCTGTAATCCCAACACCTGGGGAGGCCAAGGTGGGCAGATTACTTGAGGTCAGGAATTCGAGACCAGCCTGGCCAATATGGCAAAACCCCATCTCTACTAAACATACAAAAATTAGCCAGGTGTGGTGGCACACACCTGTAATCCCAGCTACTTGGGAGGCTGAGGCAGAAGAATCACTTGAACCAGGAGGCAGAGGTTGCAGTGAGCCGAGATCATGCCACTGCACTCCAGCCTGGGTGACAGAGCATGACTCTGTATCAAAAAAAAAAAAATGCTTATAATGCATACATTATAACAAAGTATGAACTAATGATGAGAATGTGCCAAACCAAAGATTATGACAATTGAAATCTATGCTTTTGAGGTCCAAAGAGGTGTGGTGGAGGGAATCCAAGTAGAAATGACAAGGAATCATGGTATTTGGAGGGATCGAAGGAAAGGAAATGGCCTGGTCTCTATTCTACCTTTTTCTACCTTTTTGGTTTTTTTCTTTTTTTGAGATAGGGTCTCACTCTGTCACCTAAGCTGGAGTGCAGTGGCATAATCTCAGCTCACTACAACCTTCGCTTCCTGGGCTCAAGTGATCCTCCCACCTCAGCCTCCAGAGTAGCTGGGACTACAGGTGCATGCCACCACACCCGGCTAATTTTTGTATTTTTTTTTTTTTATAGAGATAGGGTTTCACCATGTCCAAGCTGGTCTTGAACTCCTGGGTTAAAGCGATCCACCCTCCTCAGCCTCCCAAAGTGCTGGAATTACAGGCGTGAGCCACCGCACCTGGCCTGGATTTTTTATGTATATAACACTCCTCAAATCCACAAGGATCAATATTCATTTATTCAGCCTACTTATTAAATATTTCTACTAGGCAGTTGCCTTATAGATCAATACAGACAATGCCTGACCTCAGTGATCGAACCACTTTAAAGAAGAGACAGAGGTACAGAGAAAGGCAGAATAAAATAAATACCACAATGAAGATCTAAACAAAAACAACTGATCTTATAATAGGCCATGAAGAAAAATCTCAAAAATTCCAAGAAGCACAATAAACCACATTTCCTCACACAAACACAATTTTAAAATTTTAAAATAGGCTAAACAAACAACCAACCTAACACTTAGACATTTAAAAATACTCCCTTGAGCTGGGCGTGGTGGTGCATTCCTGTAATCCCAGCTGCTTGGGAAGCTGAGGCGGGAGGATGGCTTGAGCCCAGAAATTTGAAGCTGTAGGGCGGCGCTATGATCACATCTGTGAATAGCCACTGCACTCCAGCCCAGGCAACACAGTGAGACCCTGTCTCTTAAAGAAATAAAAATTAAAATTAAAAAAAAAACAAAAACACCTTAACCCTTGGGGCAAAGAAAAAATTCCAGTTATACACAATTATTTATAAATAAATGAGAATTCAATCAAAGATGAATTCAGAGGCAACTTTTAGCCTCAAACACATACTGGCCTCATGATTAAGAATATAGACTTGATCCTGCTGGGTGTGGTGGCTCACACCTGTAATCCCAGCACTTTGGGAAGCCGAGGCAGGTGGATCACAAGGTCAGATCAAGACCGTCCTGGCTAACACGGTGAAACTCCGTCTCTACTAAAAATATAAAAAATTAGCTGGGCGTGGTGGCAGGCGCCTGTAGTCCCAGTTACTGGGGAGGCTGAGGCAGGAGAATGGCGTGAACCAGGGAGGTGGAGCTTGTAGTGAGCTGAGATCGCACCACTGCACTCCAGCCTGGGCGACAGAGAGAGATTCTGTCTCAAAAAATTAAAAAAAAAAAAAAAAAAAATATATATATATATATAGGCTTGATCCTGGCTCCATCACTTATGAGCTGTACAACCTTGGGCAAGTTAGCAAACCTCTCTGTATCTCTTTTTCCCTCCTCTATAAAATGAAAATGCTAATAGTGTAAGGATTAACTTAAACGGTACAATAAAGCACAATAATAAATAAACTATCAATATCATTACTAACAAATGTTCTAGTGGGAGCTGCTCTAAGAAACAATTGCCTACCTTGGCTGGTCCAAGTAAAAGAAGAAAGCCAAGAGTGGAAGGAAGAGAGGATATCTTAAGAATGGATAGATTTCCTGAGTATCCAAGGAAGGAACTGTATACTGTACAGACTGCCATATAGCTAGGCCTCGTGAAACGGGAATTGAGAACGTGAAAGTGAACAGGAGCTGAGGCAGCTATTTTCACTCTCACCCTGGGGCCAGGTGCTTCTCTCTGCACATCTGCTCAACTCCGTCTGTCTCTATCTGTCTCTCTCGCTCCCTTTTCCAAATGGACTTGTCACTATTAGTTTCTACTCCCTGATAACTCTGGTATGCATGTGTTCATCAGGAAATTTCTACACCCCACATCCCCCATCATCTCTACAACAGTGATTGCTTAAGCAGAGTGTGCTGCAGAATTACCCAGAGTTTCGATATCAAACCTATAGAAAAGTTGCAAGACAAATGTCACTTTTACCTGACTTACCAGTTGTTCACATTTTGCAACTCAGAAGTATAGTCTCCCATGCGTCCCAGAAGGAAAGAGAAACAGACACAGGTGAGCATCACCATCCTGACCTCACTCATCTCTCTCGGCCTGGCCTCACTGCAGATGCAGAGGCCACCACCTCAACCAGGCAGCTGGGGAGGGAGGAGGGCATGTGTGCAGACCATGATGGCTTCAGCAGGACAGGCTGCAGACAGACTAGCCAGGCAAATGAGTCTAAAAGCAACTAGCCAGCTAACTAAATTAACTAGCTAATAACTAAGCAGTCAATTCAAAAGGCTAGAAAAAGAAGAACGTCATAAAGCTAACAAATATAGGAGAATGAAACTGATAGAAACCAATAAATCAGAAAACAGAAAAACAATTGAACTGTTATAAGAGTTGTTTAAAACAACAACAAAACAAGCAAACTGCTGGCAAAGTTAGCCAAGAGAAAGACTATACAACACCCCTAACAGATTGAGGAAGTGGCTAAAAACAGGCACATAGGAATTTGTGGGGGGTTTTTTTGTTTTGTTTTTGTTTTTGAGATGGAGTCTCGCTCTGTCGCCAGGCTGGAGTGCAGTGGCGCAATCTCGGCTCACTGCAACCTCCGCCTCCGGGGTTCAAGCAATTCTCCTGCCTCAGCCTCCCAAGTAGCTAGAATTACAGGTATGCGCCACCACGCCCAGCTAATTTTTGTATTTTTAGTAGAGACAGGGTTTCACTATGTTGGCCAGGATGGTCTTGATCTCTTGACTTCGTGATCCACCTGCTTCGGCCTCCCAAAGTGCTGGGATTACAGGCATGAGCCACCGCGCCCAGCCAGGAATTTGTGTTTTAACTACAAAAGAATACTAGTGAAACTCTATATAAATAAACTAGAAAATGTCAATAAGAATGAATATTGTCTTGGAAAATATAAATCAAAATCAACTCAAAATGATGGAACATCTGAATAAAATAACAATAGAAAGAATTGGGCCAGGTGCAGTGACTCACATCTGTAATCCCAGCATTTTCGGAGGCCAAGGTTCAGGATTGCTTGAGCCCAGGAGTTCTAGACCAGCCTGGGCAACATAGTAAGACTTCATCTCTACAAAAAATTTTTAAAAAATCAGCCAGGCATGGTGGCGTGTAGTCCTAGCTACTCAGGATGCTGAGGTGAGAAAATCACCTCGGCCCAGGAAGCTGAGGCTGCAGTGAGCCATGATTGCATCACTGCACTCCAGCCTGGGTGACGGAAACCCTGTCTCAAAAAGAAAAAGAAAGAATGGAAAAAGTGGTCAAGTAGATGCCCCTACCAAAAGACCCACACGCCACTTGATTTACAAAATTAGCAAAAACTTAATTCAAGACAACAAATTCAATACCTAACAAACCTCACACAAGTTCTACAGATAAAAAATGCCACCAAATAAAACATCAAACTAGCAACAGCAAAAAAGCAGGATGCTTACTATCACTGTCATCTTTCCTCCAATTCATAGCAGATGCCAATAAAGGATCCCAGTCCCCTTTCTGAGATCTTCCAAGACTCTGCAAGACAGCATGTTTTGAGTGATTTCTGCCAAAGCTTCAGATGAGGGGAGTGGTGGCAAATGTTCTGCTCTTTATCACCCCTGAATTGACTGACAGCTCAGTAAGGGCAGAAACCATGTCTGTCTATCTTGTTCATGATTATATCCTCAGCATCAAGCACAAGTGTCTGGCACATAGTATGAACTACACAAGTCTAGTAATATTGTAAAAGAATAATATACATTAAGACTAGTAGAGCCAAGTGTGGTAGCTCATGCCCGTAATCCCAGCATTTTGGGAGGCCAAGGCAGGAGGATCACTTGAGCCCAGGAATTTGAGATCAGCCTGGGCAACACAGTGAGACCTTGTCTCTACTAAAAATAAAAAATTAGCCAGATGTGGTGGTACATTCCTGCAGTCCCAGCTACTCAGGAGGCTGAGGTGGGAGGATTGCTTGAGCCCAGGAGGTCAAAGCTGCAGTGAGCCATGATTGTGCTACTGCATTCCAGTCTGGGAAACAGAGAGAGACCCTCAAAAAAAAAAAAAAAAAAAGAGACTAGTAGGATTTATTCCAGAACTACCACAGTGATTAAACTAGAAAATTTCTTAGTGCAATTAACATATGATAAACCAAAGGATATAAAAGCCATTTGATCACCCTGGCAGATATTGGAAAGGTATTTTATAAAACTAAATATCTACTTGTGATTCTCCTTAAAAAGGACTTTTAGTAAACCAGGAATATAAACATGATAAAGAATATTTGAAATGAATAGCCAATATCAAACTATATCCAGAAGAAACATCAGAGAGAGGACTGGGAAATAAATCTTATCTGTTGTACCAAATCAAATCAGCTATAGTCACTTATGGGAATGTTACTGGGGAGCTTCTGAAACAGGGCCATAGCTTAGCAGGAAAAGGTACTAAGAAGGATTAACTATGTTTGTTTGCCATGGGCATAAGATGAATGCCAGCATGTCGGATTCATAGTCCTTCACTTTATAAAAGTCAGAACCAAGACAAGAATGCTCATTATCACCTTTACTATTCAAAGTTACTATAGACAATGCATAAAACAAAAATAATTAATAAGAACCATAAATATTAGAAAGAAAGAAAAGAATCATCATCGGCCTAACTACAAAATCCTGAGAAGCAACTGAAGAACAATGAGAACTAATAAGAGTACTGTAAGATGCTTATTACCTGAAAAATATATTCAAATATCAATAGCTTTATTAGGCAGCATTACCAGTTAGATGACACACTGGAGGACTTCCACTTCCAGCATTATGGCAGATAGTTCAGAAGATTATCTGCAGCAATCAACTATATATTACATAGGTCATGTGAGGTGTTGCAGCTCTCACAAAGAAAGGAGTCTTCAAGAACATACCTTCCCCTCAAAAATAACACAAAACAAAAACAATAAAACGTAAGGACAGGTGTGGTGGCTCATGCCTGTAATCCCAGCAGTGTGGGAGGCCAAGGCAGGCGGAACATTTGAGGTCAGGAGTTCAAGACCAGCCTGGCCAACATGGTGAAACTCTATCTCTACTAAAAATGCAAAAATTAGCTAGGGGTGGTGGCACATGTCTGTAATCTCAGCTACTGGGGAGGCTGAGGCAGGAGAATTGCATGAACCTGGGAGGTGGAAGTTGCAGTGAGCCGAGACCATGCCACTGCACTCCAGCCTGGGTGACAGAGTGAGACACTGTCTCAAAGGAAAAAAAAAAAAAAAAGGTCGAACTCATAGAAGCAGAGCAGAATGGCCATTACCAGAAGCTATGGAGAGACAGAAAGGGGGAGGTATTCATCAAAGGGTGCAAAGTTTTGGTTATACAAGAGGAGTAGGTCCTAGACATCTACTGCACAACATTGTGCTTAGAGCCTATAGTTAATAATATTGTATTATTATAAAATTTTTTTTAAATTATACTGAAAAATGTATATTTAAAAATTTGCTAACAGGGTAGATTTTTTTTCCATTATGCTCT
The DNA here is from genome assembly GCF_000001405.40 of Homo sapiens. NCBI lineage: Eukaryota > Metazoa > Chordata > Mammalia > Primates > Hominidae > Homo > Homo sapiens. The sequence goes on from NC_000009.12 coordinate 35,573,224, forward strand.
TCTAAGATACTAATAAACCATAAGATGGTAGATCTTATATTAAGTGTTCTTATCACTAAATAAATTGGGCAGGAGGAAACTTTTGGAGATGATGGATATGTTTACGGCATTGACTATAGCGCTGGTTTCATGGTTCTATACTTACCTCCAAGTTCAAGCTGTATACACTAAATATGTATTGTAAGTCCTCAGTATTGTCAATAGGTTCTTGGAAATTGCAACTTTCAGAGAAATGATGTGAAATGATGGGTACGAGAGTTTACCGTACATGAGGAGAGCATGCAAACTCCATATAGACAGTGGTCCTGGCCTGAATCAACCTTTTTTTCCCCTGGCCAGGTGCAACGGCTCACGCCTGTAATCCCCATACTTTACGAGGCTGAGGTGGAAGGATCACTTGAGCCCAGGGGTTCAAGACCAGCCTAGGCAAGACGGGGAGACCCCCCTCTCTACAAAAATAAAAAATAAAATTTAAAAAATTAATTTAATTAAAATTAATTATCTGGACTAATTAGCCAGGCAAGGTGGTACACACCTGTAGTCCCAGCTACTCAGGAGGCTGAGGTGGGAGGACCGTTTGAGCCCAGGAGTTTGAGGCTGTAAGTGAGCTATGATCACACCGCCACACTGCAGTCTGGGTGACAGAGACCCGGTCTCTATAAAAATAAAAAGTTTAAAAAATGATAAAAATAAAATATTTTTTCATATCAATGTTATAAAGTAACAACAGTGAGTGAAACATCATTTGAGAACCTGCTGTACAACTTTCTGTATGTCAATAAAGTGATTTTTTAAAAAGGGAAATCATCAGAGGCCAAAAACTAGGCAAAGGATAGAAGGCACTTTTGGCTTAATGGCATTGGCCAAGCCACACAAACTTGGAGGTTCATTTTCACAGGTTCATGAAGTACTGAGAAAAGGAGATAAAACTCAGTGACCACCCAAGATGGAGAGTCTAACAGAAAATTTTTCCTGCATAAAACTGGCATGCATCAAGTTATGTCCCTTTAGTCTTTTTTTTCTTTTTCTTTGAGATGGAGTCTCATTCGGTCACCCAGGCTGGAGGGCAGTGGTGCAATCTCGGCTCACTGCAACCTCCGCCTCCTGGGTTCAAGCAATTCTCATGCTTCAGCCACCTCAGTAGCTGGGATTACAGGCGCCGCCACTACACCCAGCTAATTTTTGTATTTACTTTAGTAGAGACTAACTTTCACCATGTTGGCCAGGCTGGTCTCAAACTCCTGACCTCAAGTGACCCGCCTGTCTTGGCCTCCCAAAGTGCTGGGATTATACACATGAGTCACCGCACCCCACCTTGCCCCTAGAAATCCATCTGCCCCCCAAATCCTTCCTCAGGGGACTACAAAGAAAATTGCCTATCTCAAAACTTGGTACCAAGTGAAAAAGGGGGACATATTTCCCCTAAAACTTCATAACTACAAGCTGGCTCATGCGTGATTTGCAGATGGAATTCACTCTACCTGAGTAGTCTGAAATACTATCAAGATAATGAGGTAGGAGGTGGGACTGGACTCCAGAGGCAGGGCTCAGCAGCGGACCAAATTGAGGACTAGCTAAAACAGGGATGGGGCAGAAGTGGTTTTCCATATGACATGGCCACCAGTGTGCTATGTCAGTTTACCATTGCCATGACAACACCCAGAAGTTACCACCCCTTTCCACAGCAATGACCCAATGAACTGGAAGTTACCACCCTTTACATACAGAAATTACTGCATAGTCCACCCCTTAATTTGCATGTAGTTAAAAGTGGGTATAAATCTGAATGCAGCACTGCCTCTGAGCTGCTGCTCTGAGCATACAGCCTATAGGACAGCCCTGCTCCACAAGGACCAGTACCTCTGCAGGTTTATTAGGATCTTGGAAGAGCATAATGGGAAAAGAAAGATGTACTCTGTTACCAAATTTTTTAAGTATACACTGCTGCTTCAATAAAAGTTGCTGTCTAACACCACTGGCTCATCCTTGGATTTTCTTTCCTGGGCAAAGCTAAGAACCTCCCAAGGCTAAGCCCCAATTTGGGGGCTCACCTGCCCTCCCATCATCTGGTGATCAATGAAAGGAAAAAGATAATGAGCAAGAGGCAGCAAGTCAGTGGAGACAGTGGCAGTCAGCAGACAGGTGAGATGGTGGGACAGCAGAGACGGTGGCAATCAGCGGTCAGTGGAGAGGTGACGACTATGAGAGACAGCAACTGGGAAGACAGTGAGAGACTGACAAGACCAAGCAGAGACAGCGAGAGACCGCAAAGCGGTCTGTGATCAAGGCTGCAAGAGCTATAACACTGAGGCTGTAACAATAAAGAGCTGCTAACACTAACCAAAGGCTCTTTTCAGAGCCATCATTTTCCCTGGCAGGCGGCAGGGCCAAGCAGACACACTAATGGCCATAATGTCACTGCCTCATGTGAGCTCTGACCATGGCAGGCCAGTGGGTTACCAGTCCCTATGCTTGCCCCCTGTGTGACAGCTGAGCCCACCCAAGCTGGGGGGTCCTGGAGGGACCTTCACCAGGGTCCCACATGAAAGACTGGCTGGTGCCATTTGGCTCCTATGGATGGGTAAGTGTCCCTTCTTCCCCTACTCCATAACATCTAGTGAGCTGGGGAATAAAAAGCCTTCGGCTAAGTGGTTAAAAGTCCCCCACAGTATGAGTGCCCTGAGGCACATCCTTGTGACCTCTCCCCCCTGTGCTTTCTTCTCTGACTCCATATTATTGTTCCACCAATCATTTTATTTTTATTTCGAGTCCAAAAATTTACGTTTCATTTGAAGCGTTATGTTTCCTTTTGACTTTCTGTTAACTGTGTTTGAGCAATTGTTTAAGGCTGGATGTTTAGTTGTGCTCTGTTGCGTCAACTCTGGGACACCAGAGTCACATTGTTCTATGACCCCAACTTGGTCTTGGGTTCACTGTTGGCCACTCCCTTGGTGCCCCCAGGTTTTTGGCATTTGGTGAGGGGACCCTCATTGGCTGAAACAGGCACTCTGGGTTTCCAGCATTGGTATGATAGGCCACTCCCAGATGCTCTGGGGTTTTCAGGATTGACATTCCCTCTAGGATTATAGGTTATAGCCCCACCCACTACGGGAATATTGGTATCAACTTTTTCTGCCCTGAAGTTAGAAGTTATTGTTTTCCTGACAGCCAGTTGCAAGCCCCTTACCGTATTCTGTCTTAGAACTGCTTTGCTCAAGCCCCTCTACATCAAACGGACCAGGAGTTCCCAGGCCCCTGGCCTGATGGACAACCACTCAACAGCGGTAGACGAGTGGCCACCTGAACATTATTATTATTATTTTTTTTTTTTTGGTGTCTCCACTACTGGGAAGGGTCTCTGGCAAGTCAGGGCCTCTGCGGTCTCTCCTCAGGCAACGCTGCTTATCCCCTTCCCTTCCTCTCTTCCACAGTCTCCATGTGTTTAGCCGCCTTCTCTGAACAACCCTCACTCTGTGGAATTTAAGCTCAACATTCTACTGCCCTTTTGTGGCTTGTAATCCACTTTTGTAATGCCTTCTTACCTATACTTAAACCTTCTCTACAGGGAGTGGGAATCTAAAAGGGAAAAATAACAAGGGCCTAGTTACTTTCCCTCTTGCTTAGAAAAATTTGTGCGCATAAAAATCCTTGTTAATCATGGGGACAATGATGAGTATTCCAGATAACTCACCATTAGGACGCCCTTCAGGCTAATTCAGCTTAAAGAAAAATTCATTTTCTATTGCAAAACCGTTTGGGTTCAATACAAACTATAAAACCAACAGATATGGCCTAAACATGGTTTTATATGCTATGATATTTTACAGTTGGACTTTTTCTGTAAAAAAGAAGGAAAATCGGAAGAGGTCCCTTATGTACAGTAAAGGGCTATTATGACCCTTTACTGGCTCACATTAGTTAAGGCACCAGAAAGCCACATCTAAGGGATCTCCTCCTAGCTGCTCCCCCTAGAAGGTCTATGCCCTCCCTGGAATCTCCTCAGTCTCCCAATTGTGAGGCGGGTCCCACCAGTTCTCTAACAAAGGACTCCACCCCAAGGTCATCAGGCACCTCTCCCCCTTTTCCAATTAGCCTCAGCCTATACCCCCAACTGCCCAAGAAAGTATGCCCAACCAGTACCACCAGGAGTGGGACTGCCCCTAAAGTCAAACTGTGTCCATTGTGGGAGGTAGCCCATGGAAATGGGGGGGACACCTGGAGTGCATGTGCCATTTTTTATGTCTAATTTGGCTTTATACAAGGAGAACTTTGGCCAGTTTTCAGAGGAGTTTAAGTTGACCACATTCTTTGATTTAATTTGTCATGACTTGCAAGTATTGTCATCTGCTTGTTGTGCCATGGGGAAAAAAAGTGGAGAAAAAAGTATGTGGTTAAGCCAGCTAAAGATGACAAGGTTAGAAAAATAACTCAGCGAAAAGATAAAAATCCCACTCTGCTTCAGGGTCATTTTGTTGACGCACTCAGGAAATATACTAATGCAGATTCAGACTCCCCAGAAGGGCAAGCTCTCCTGCGTTACATTTTATTACTCTATCTGCCCCTGACATTAGCAGGAAGCTACAGAAAGCAGCAATGGGACCTCAAATCCCTATGAGCCAACTCAAATTCGGCCTTTAAAGTTTACGACAATAGGGATGAAGCAAAAGAGGTTAAAAAAAAAAAAGAAAAAAAGAAAGAGCCAAAAAGTGCAATTGTTAACAGTTACTTTAAGCCCCCTGCCATCTCAGAATTACCCATCCCAAGAAAGCGTTGCGAGATCGGCATCTGGGATGCCCAGAAAAGATCCCTCGACTCACTGGTCCCTGGGCCACGATCAGTGTGCCTACTATAAGCAAAAAGGCCACTGGCAATCACAGCATCCTAACCATCCCCGGTGAGAGAGGAAAAGGCTCCCTATCAATAGTAGAGCTAACCTTCCACTAGCCCCAACAAGTTGCTTGCTCAAGTAAGGTTACTAAAGTTCTCAGCCCCTTGGCCTAACTGACAGCTTCCCACAGTGGCAGATAAGTGGCTGCCCAAACATTTCTCTTTGGTGTCTTGGCTGCTGGGTGAGCTCTCCAGCAGCTCAGGGACTCCAGAATCTCCCCTTGAGCAATGCAGGTTGCACCTTCCCTTCCTTATTTGATGCTATAGGATCCCCTTCCCTGCCTCTTCCTGTCTTCCAAACCTATCTGGGCAAACAACATTTGGCTAGGTAGATGGGTTCCAATTGTGAAACTAACTTGAATCCAGCTGTCTTATATAAGTCGTTTTATTTAATGTGCTTGTTTAGGTGTATATACAGGTATGGTGATGAGCATTGTGTCTAGCATGCTATCAAATTGGCTTATAAACAAACAAGCACTCATAAATAAGACTAGTCTAAGCTTATTAGTTTGAAGAGGATGTTGTGTCTTCTAAAATTTAAGAATTTTTACATAGGTAAATCACTGATGTTCATAGGCTTTAAAATGGTTAAAATGGCTTTAAATGGTGACTAGCTTTGCATGGTATCTTGGTTCTGGGAGGTGGGCTAGATACAATTGTTAAAAGTAAAAAGGTTAAGTATATATGAATGGAATACATGCTTAAATAGTGAGCTTAATGTGAGGTTTAAAATCCTAAAATGGTGGAATGGTTCTCATCCATTGAATGCCAATGTCTGATGGGCATTTCAGAATTTCTTTTTAACTTTTGTGGGTACATAGTAGGTGTATATATTTCTGGGGTACAGGAGATGTTTTGATACAGGCATGCAATGTGAAATAAGCACAACATGGAGAATGGGGTCCCCATCCCCTCGAGCATCCTTTGAGCTACAAACAATCCAATTACACTCTTTATTTTAAAATATACAATTAAATTATTGACTATAGTCACCCCATTGTGCTATCAAATAATGGGCCTAATTCATTCTATTTTTGTACCCATTCACCATCCCCACCCTCCCCCAGCAATTCCCCACTACCCTTCTGATATGGTTTGACTCTGTGTCCCCACCCAAATCTCAGGTTGAATTGTAATTTCCAGTATTGGGGGAGGGACCTGATGGGAGGTGACTGAATCATGAAGGCGGATTTCCCCCATGCTGTTCTCATCATAGTGACTCAGTTCTCACAAGATCTGGTGGTTTAAAAGTGTGTAGCACTTCCCCACTTTGCTAACTCACTCTCATACCACCATTGTAAGATGTGTCTTGCTTCCCCTTTGCCTTCCACCATGATTGTAAGTTTACTGAGGGCTCCCTAGCCATGTGGAACTGTGAGTCAATTAAATCTCTTTTCTTTATAAATTACCCAGTCTCAGGTAGTTTCTTTATAGCATTGTGAAAACAGACCACAGAAAATTGGTACCAAGAGTAGGGTAAAGATACCTGAAAATGTGGAAGTGACTTTAGAACTGGGTAATGGGCAGAGTTTGGAACAGTTTAGAGGGCTCAGAAGAAGACAGGGAGGTGTGGGAAAAGTTTGGAACTTCCTAGAGATTTGTTGAATGGTTTTGACCAAAATGCTGATAGTGATATGGACGGTGAAATCTGAGATGGTAATCTCAGATGGAGATGATCAGATGGAGATGAGGAATTTATTGGGAACTGGAGCAAAGGTCACTCTTGCTATGCTTTAGCAAAGAGACAGGTGGCATTGTGCCTCTGCTCTAAGGAATCTGTGGAACTCTGAACTTGAGAGAGATGATTTAGGATATCTGGTGGAAGAAATTTCTAAGAAAGAAAGTGTTCAAGATGTGACCTGGCTGCTCCTAACAGTGTACAGTCATATGTGTTCACAAAGAGATGGTCTGAAATTGGAACTTATGTTTAAAAGAGAAGCAGAGCATAAAAGTTTAGAAAATTTGCAGCCTGATTATGTGGTAGAAAAGAAAAACCCATTTTCTTGGGAGAAATTCAAGCTGCTGGCTGCAGAAATTTGCATAAGTAGAGAAGAGCCAAATGTTAATCACTAAGACAATGGGGAAAATGCCTCCAGGACATTTCTGAGATGTTCACAGCAGCCTCTCTCATCACAGGCCCAGAGGCCTAGAGAGAAAAATGGTTTCATGGGCTGGGCCTAGGGCCCCACTGCTCAGTGCGGCCTCAGGACATGGTACCCTGCCACTTCAGTTCCAGCCATGGCTCAAAGGGGCCAAGGTACAGCTCAGGCTGTGGCCTCAGAGGGTGCAAGCCCCAAGCCTTGGTGGCTTCCATGTGGTGTTGCACCTGTGGGTGCACAGAAGGCAAGAGTTTGAAAGCCACCACCTAGTTTTCAGAGGATGTATGGAAATGCTTGGATGTCCAGGCAGAATTCTGCTGCAGTGGAGGGCACTCATGGAGAATCACTACTAGGGCAATGTGGAGAGGAAATGTGAAGTTGGAGCACCCCCCCCCACAAGAGTCCCCACTGGGGCACTGCCTAGCGGAGCTGTGAGAAGAGGGCCACTGTCCCCCAGACTCCAGAATGGTAGATCCACTGACAGCTTGCACCATGTGCCTGGAAAAGCCACAGGCACTCAATCCCAGCCCATGAAAGCCCCCCAAGGGGCCATACCATGCAGAGTCACAGGGGTGGAGCTGTCGAAGGCCTTGGGAGCCCACCTTTTGCATCAGTATGCCCTGGATGTGAGACATGGAGTCAAAGGAAATTATATGGGGGCTTTAAGATTTAATGATTGCTCTGCTGGGTTTTGGACTTGCATGGGGCCTGTAGCCCCTTTGTGTTTTTGTTGTTGTTGTTGTTATTTTTGGTTTTTTTTTGAGATGAAGTCTCACTCTGTCACCCAGGCTGGAGTCCAATGGCATCATCTCGGGTCACTGCCACCTCTATCCCCCAGGTTCAAGCGATCTTCCTGCCTGAGCCTCCCCAGTAGCTAGGAATACAGGTGTGTGCCACCACTCCTGGCTAATTTTCATATTTTTAGTAGAAACATGGTTTTACCATGTTGGCCAGGCTGGTCTCAAACTCCTGACTCAAGTGATCTACCCACCTTGGCCTCCAAAAGTGCTAGGATTATAGGCGTAAGCCACTGTACTCGGCTGTTTTGGCCAATTTCTACCATTTGGAATAAGAGCATTTACCCAATGCCTATACCCCCACTGTATCTTGGAACTACCTTGTTTATTTTACAGGATCATAGGCAGAACAGACTTGCCTTGTCTCAGATGAGACTTTGGACTTGAACTTTTGGGTTAATGCTGGAATGAGTTAGGACTCTGGGGGACTATTGAGAAGGCATGATTGTGTTTCAAAATGTGAGAAGGACATGAGATTTGGGAGGGGCCAGGGCGGAATACTATGGTTTGGCTCTGTATCTCCACCCAAATCTCATATTGAATTATAATTTCCAATGTTGGGGGAGAAACACGGTTGAATCTTAGGGGCGGATTTCCCCCAGGCTGTTCTCACGATAGTGAGTTCTCATGAAATCTGATGATTTAAAAGTGTGTAGCACTTCCTCCCTCGCTCTCTCTCTCTCCTGCCATGTAAGATGTGCCTTACTTCCCCTTTGCCTTCTGCCATGATTGTAAGTTTCCTAAGGCTTCCCCAACCACGTGGAACTGTGAGTCAATTGAACTCTCTTCTTTACAATTACCCAGTCTCAGGTACTCTTTGTTTTGTTTTGTTTTGTTTTGGCAGAGTCTCACTCTGTTGCCCAGGCTAAAGTGCAGTGGTGCAATCTTGGCTCACTGTAACTCTTCTTCCCAGGTTCAAGTGATTCTTGTGCCTCAGCCACCTGAGTAGCTGGGATTACAGCCATGTGTTGGGAACTGGTCCCCAAATCTGGCCATAAACTGACCCCAAAACTGGCCATAAACAAAATCTCTGCAGCACTGTGACATGTTCGTGATGGCCATGATACCCACACTGAAGGTTGTGGATTTACTGGAATGAAGGCAAGGAACACCTAGCCCACACAGGGCAGAAAACTGCTTAAAGGTGTTCCTAAACCACAAGCAATAGCATGAGCGATCCGTGCCTTAAGGACATGTTGCTGCTGCAGATAACTAGCCAGAGCCCATTCCTTTGTTTCGGCCCATCCCTTTGTTTCCTGTAAGGAATACTTTTAGTTAATCTATAATCTATAGAAATAATGCTTATCACTGGCTTGCTGTCAATAAATATGTGGGTCAAACTCTGTTTGGGGCTCTCAGCTCTGCAGGCTGTTGAGTCCCCTGATTTCCCACTCCACACTACATATTTCTGTGTGTGTGTCTTTAATTCCTCCAGCACGGCTGGGTTAGGGTCTCCACGACGGAGCTGGTCTCAGCAAGTGGGGCTCGAACCCAGATCGAAGGGTTGCCGGAGCAATGGTTGGAGAATGTGGAACTAAGCTGGAGGACACCCAAGTACTCTTAAGCAATCCCTGTAGTGAGTAAGAAGGGGAGCTCAGAAGCATCAGGGTAACAATGGGACAAGTGTGGGCTCTGGTTCGTCCCACCTTGGAACCTTTTCACACTGATGATGAGGAGGAAGGAGAGTATAACAAAGTAACAGAAAAGGTAACAGAGCAGGTTTGTTTGCCAGCTAAAGCTAAAGAGGCAAAGGAGGAAGAGTTCATCCCTACCTTTCTGCACTCCCTCCTTATTTTGAAGAAAAAGAGCAGCCTGACCCTCCAGATCTTTCTTTTACGGAGGACACTGGGCGAAAAGTAGTTGCCCCAGTGACTGTTCGAGCAGCTCTTCGAGTGACTGCTGTCAGTTCTATTCAGGCAGGAATCCAGCAAGCTAGAAGAGAGGGTGATATAGGCCGGAACTGGTGGCTCACACCTGTAATCCCAGCACTTTGGGAGGCTGAGGTGGGCGGATCACGAGGTCAGGAGATCGAGACCATCCTGGCTAACACAGTGAAACCCCGTCTCTACTAAAAATACAAAAAAAATTAGCCGGGCATGGTGGCGGGCTCCTGTAGTCCCAGCTACTGGGGAGGCTGAGGCAGGAGAACGGCATGAACCTGGGAGGCAGAGCTTGCAGTGAGCAGAGATCGTGCCACTGCACTCCAGCCTGTGTGACAGAGTGAGACCCGTTTCAAAAAAAAAAAAAAAGAAAGAAAAGGAGAGGGTGATATAGAGGCTTGGCAGTTCCCTGTTAGGATATACCCCCCAGATCAACAGAGAAATATTATAGCTATATTTGAGGCTTTTCTCTTTAAATTACTTAAAGAGTTTAAACAGGCTATCAGTATGAACCAGGTATATGCCTGAAGTGTAAAAAAGGAAAACATTGGGCCAATCAGCATCATTCTAAATTTGATAAGGATGGAAACCCAATTTCGGGAAATGCCATGAGGGGCCCGTTCAGGGCCCGTCCCAGGCCCGTTCCAAACCGGGGCATTTCCGGCTCAGGCCATTCCCTCACCCCTATACAATGTCTGTCCCCTGCCACAGCCGGTAGTGCCGCAGTAGATTTATGCTGCACAAAAGCTGTGGAGCCTTCTGCCTGGGGAACCTCTGCAAAAAAGTTCCAACAGGGGTCTGTGGACCCTTGCCAGCTGGGACAATAGGATTACTTCTAGACAGGTCTAGTTTAAATTTAAAAGGAGTGCAAGTACAAACAGGAGTCACTGATTCACATTACAATGGGGAAATTCACGTTGTTATATCTACTTCTGTTCCCTGGAAAGCAGAGCCAGGACAGCATATAACACAACTCCTGATTGTGCCATATGTAGAAATGGGGAAAAGTGAAATTAAATGAACAGGAGGATTTGGAAGCACAAATAAACAAGGCAAAGCAGTTTATTGGGTGAATCAAATTACTGATAAACATCCTACCTGTGAAATAACTATTCAGGGAAAGAAATTTAAAGGTTTGGTAGATACAGGAGTGGACGTTTCAATCATTTATCTACAGCACTGGCCGTCCACGTGGCCAATTCAACCCGCTCAATTTAACATAGTTGGAGTTGGTAAAGCCCCTGAAGTATATTAAAGTAGTTATATTTTGCATTGTGAAGGGCCCAATGGACAACCTGGACTATTCAACCAATTATAACTTCTGTACCTATAAATTTATTACAACAATGGGGAGCACAAGTTCTAATTCCAGAACAATTATACAGCCCTCAAAGTCAACATATGATGCATAAAATGGGGTATGTTCCTGGTACGGGACTAGGAAAAAATTTGCAAAGTTCGAAGGAACCGCTTCAAGCGGAAAGACAAATTTCCCACCAAGGTTTAAGATTATTATTTTTGATGGCGGCCATTTTTAAGCCTCCAGAACCTATACCTTTAAAATGGTTAATGAATAAGCCAATTTGGATAGAACAATGGCCACTGAGTAAAGAGAAACTGGAGGCTTTAGAGGACTTAGTTACTGAACAATTAGAAAAAGAACACATAGCTCCAACATTTTCCCCTTGGAATTCTCCAGTTTTCATAATTAAGAAAAAATCAGGTAAATGGAGAATGTTAACTGACTTAAGGGCCATTAATTCAATTATACAACCTATGGGGACATTACAGCCAGGACTGCCTTCTCCTGCTATGATTCCAAAAAACTGGTCTTTAATAGTCATAGATTTAAAAGACTGTTTCTTTACTATCCCCTTAGCTAAGCAAGACTGAATGGTTTGCATTTACAATTCTTGCAGTAAACAACCTGCAGCCTGCTAAGCATTTTCATTAGAAAGTGTTGCCTCAAGGCATGTTGAACAGTCCAACAATTTGCCAGACTTATGTAAGACAAGCAATTGAACCGACTCGTAAAAAATTTCCACAGTGTTACATTACTCATTGTATAGAAGATATAATTTGTGCTGCCCCCACTCGAGAAATATTACTCCAATGTTATGATCACTTGCAAAACTTGATTTTTCCTGCCAGTTTAATTATAGCCCCTGACAAATTTCAGACTACTACTCCTTACTCCTACTTGGGGACCTTAGTAAATGACACTACAATTGTGCCACAGAAAGTAACCATACGTAGAGATCAATTGAAAACATTAAATGACTTTCAAAAATGACTAAAGACCATTAATTGGACACAACCTGCTCTAGGCATTCCTACCTATGCCATGAGTAATCTATTTTCTATCCTTAGAGGAGATCTTAGTCTCACTAGCCCTCAACAATTAACAAAGGAGGCTGAGGCAGAGTTACAGCTGATTAAAAAGCAAGTCCATAAGGCCTACCCGGAAAAATCTCACTGCCTCTCCCCAGACTATTACTTGTTAGATGGAACTCTCCCCCACTTAATGGGTTCCACCTGAACCCCCTCACTGCTATTATGTGGACCTGGAAAGTTGGGTATCTATACTTCTAGTGCACTAATGATTCTATCTTTGGCACCCAGTGTTGTGTTAATGACACAAAAGCCAAGTTTCCTGCAATGCTCTGATCCAGCCTTAGTTGCCAAGTTCCCAATGCCACAGCAAAGTAAATGGGATAGAACTTGTAAGCAATGAGACCATCTATGGTTCCTTCCCCTGGATCAGAACATACAGGAGAAAAAAAAAAAGGAACACATGGGAGAAAAACAACTATTTAGTCTGGGAAGGTGGGAGTACCTCCTCCCCTTTTGGAAAACAAAGATTGTTCAACCACCCCAATTAGAACAGGGAAAAATATCTCTATAGACACAACTTGGCAGCAAAGGGTAGGCATCGCACCCCGTAGGGACCCTGTTTGTGCTCCAACTGGGCTTGTTTTTGTTTGTGGCCATGAGTGGGAAGAAGTCATGCCCTGTAACCACTCCTGACTCCCTGGGGAGTCACCTGTTCTTTTAAGAATAGCTTTCCCTTGTATATCAAAAACATGAAACAGAGGTGACTGTATGTTGGCCACCCTTTCCCCTCCAGGAGTCACACAGTCTATAACCCCGTAAGACCCAAGAACACCAGAAATAAATGAGCAATAGTGTTACTGGTTGAGGGTAGTTGTCCAGGTTCTTGGCGTTTTGAACAAATAATCAGACAAAACACACAAAGCAAGGCAGTAAAAGCAGAAACTTATTTTAAGTAAAAGCACACCCCATAGGGTAGGAGTGGGCTCAAGCAAGTGGCTCAAGAGCATCAGTTACAGAATTTTCTGGGGTTTAAATACCCTCTAGAGACCAGGCGTGGTGGCTCACACCTGTAATCTCAGCACTTTGGGAGGCCAAGGCGAGTGGATCACCTGAGGTCAGGAGTTCCAGACAAGCCTGACCAACATGGTAAAACCCCATCTCTACTAAAAATACAAAATTAGCTGGGTGTGGTGGTGCATGCCTGTAATCCCAGCTACTCGGGAGGCTGAGGCAGGAGAACTGCTTGAACCTGGGATGCAGAGGTTGCAGTGGGCCAAGATCACACCACTGAACTCCAGCCTGGGCAACAAGAGCAAACCTCCGTCTCAAAAACAAAATAACACAAAACAAAAAACTACAAGTTTGGAAAACATATTGGAGGGAATAATTGAGGAAAACTTCCCTGGCCTTGCTAGAGATCTAGACATCCAAATACAATAAGCTCAAGGAATACCTGGGAAATTCATCGCATGAAGACTATCACCTAGGCACATAGTCATCAGGTTATCTAAAGTCAAGACAAAGGAAAGAATCTTAAGAGCTGTGAGGCAATAGCATCAGGTAAACTATAAAGGAAAACCTATCAGATTAACAGCAGATTTCTCAGCAGAAACCCCTACAATCTAGAAGGGATTGGGGTCTTATTTTCAGTCTCCTTAAACAAAACAATTATCAGCCAAGAATTCTGTATCCAGCAAAACTAAGCTTCATAAATGAAGGAAAGATAGTCTCTTCCAGACAAACAAATGCTGAGAGAATTCGCCACTACCAAGCTAGCACTACAAGAACTGCTAAAAGGGTCTCTAAATCTTGAAACAAATCCTTAAAATACACCAAAATAGAATCTCCTTAAAGCATAAATCTCACAGGACCTATATGACAATAATACAATAAAAAAAGGTATTCAGGCAAAATGGCATGACGAATAGACTAGTACCTCATATCTCAATACTAACATTGAATGTAAATGGCCTAAATGCTCCACTTAAAAGATACGGAATGGCAGAATGCATAAGAATTAACCAACCAAATTTCTGCTGTCTTCAGGAGACTCACCTAGTACACAGGATTCACATAAACTTAAGGTAAAGGGGTGGAAAAAGATATGCCATGCAAATGGACACCAAAAGCAAGCAGGAATAGCTATTCTTATATCAGACAAAACAAACTTTAAAGCAACAGCCATTTAAAAAGACAAAGAGGAACATTATATAATGATAAAAGAACTAGTCCAACAGGAAAATATCACAATTCTAAATATATATGCACCTAACACTGGAGTTCCCAAATTTATAAAACATGGTCATCTCAATAGACACAGAAAAAGCATTTGACAAAATCCAGCATCCCTTTATGATTAAAACCCTCGGCAAAACTGGCACAGAAGGGACATACCTTAAGGTAATAAAAGCCATCTACAACAAACCCACAACCAACATTACACTGAATGGGGAAAAGTTGAAAGCGTTCCACCTTAGAACTAGAACAAGACAAGGATGCCCACTTTCACAACTTCTATTCAACATAGTTCTGGAAGTGCTAGCCAGAGCAATCAGAAAAGAGAAAGAAAGAAAAGGCATCCAAATTAGTAAAGAGGAAGTCAAAGTGTCTCTGTTACTGATGATATGATCGTATACCTAGAAAACCCTAAAGATTCATACAAAATTTGAATTCAGTGAAGTTTCAGGATACAAAATTGATGTACACAAATGAGTAGCTCTGCTATACACCAACAGTGACCAAGCTGAGAATAAAATAAAAAACTCAACCCCTTTCACAATAGCTGCAAAAAAAATAAAATATTTATAAATATACCTAACAAAGAAGGTGAAAGACCTCTACAAGGAAAACTACAAAACACTGCTGAAAGAAATCATAGATAACACAAAAACATGGAAACACATCCCATGCTCATGGATGGGTAGAATCAATATTGTGAAAATGACCATACTGCTAAATGCAATCTACAAATTCAATGCAATTCCCATCAAAACACCACCATCATTCTTCACAGAGCTAGAAAAAAAAAATCCTAAAATTCATACAGAACCAAAAAAGAGCCTGCATAGCCAAAGCAAGATTAAGCAAAAAAAAAAAAAAAAAAAAAAATCTGGAGATATCACATTACCTGACTTCAAAATATACTATAAGGCCATAGTCACCAAAACAGTATGATACTGGTATAAAAATAGGCACATATGGCCAGGCGTAGTAGCTCATGCTTCTAATCCCAGCACTTTGGGAGGCCAAGGCGGGTGGATCACCTGAGGTCAGGAGTTCAAGACCAGTCTGGCCAACATAGAGAAGCCCCCTCTCCACTAAAAATACAAAAAATTAGCCAGGTGTGGTGGCAGGTGCCTTTAATCCCAGCTACTTGGGTGGCTGAGGCAGGAGAATCACTTGAACCTGGGAGGCGGAGGTCGCAGTGAGCCAAGATTGTGCCACTGCAATCCAGTCTGGGCAACAAGAGCAAAAACTCCGTCTCAAAAAAAAATAGGCACACAGACCAATGGAACTGAATAGAGAACCCAGAAATAAAGCCAAATACAGCCAACTGATCTTTGACAAAGCAAACAAAAAATATCAAGTGGGGAAAGGACACCCTATTCAACAAATGATGCCGAGATAGTTGGCAAGCCAACTGTAGAAGAATAAAACCAGATTCTCATCTCTCACGTTATACAAAAATCGCATTATACAAAAAACTTAAGATGGATAAAAGACAAATCTAAGACCTGAAACCATAAAGATTCTAGAAGATAACATCAGAAAAACCCTTCTAGACATTAGCTTAGGCAAAGACTTCATGGCCAAGAACCCAAAAGCAAATGTAACAAAAATAAAGATAAATAGATAGGACTTAATTAAACTAAAAAGCTTCCGCACAGCAA
Organism: Homo sapiens; assembly: GCF_000001405.40. NCBI lineage: Eukaryota > Metazoa > Chordata > Mammalia > Primates > Hominidae > Homo > Homo sapiens. The sequence continues at coordinate 35,589,111 of NC_000009.12, forward strand.
AAGAAATAATCAGCAGAGTTAACAGACAACCCACAGAGTGGGAAAAATTTTTCACAATCTATACATCTGACACAGGACTAATATCCAGAATCTACAAAGAACCCAAACAAATCATCAAGAAAAAAAAAAAAACAAAAAACAATCCCAGGGTCGGGCACGGTGGCTCACACCTATAATCCCAGCACTTTGGGAGGCCAAGGCGGGCAGATCACAAGGTCAGGACTTTGAGACCAGCGTGGCCAACATGGTGAAACCCCGTCTCTACTAAAACACAAAAATTATCTGGGCCTAGTGGTGTGCGCACCTGTAATCCCAGCTACTGGGGAGGCTGAGGCAGGAGAATGGCTTGAACTGAGGAGGCAGAGATTGCAGTGAGCCGATTGTGCTGCTGCACTCCAGCCTGGGTGACAGAGCAAGACTTCGTCTCAAAAAAAAAAAAAAAAAAAAGAAAAGAAAAGTGAAAAACAATCCCATCAAAAAGTGGGCTAAGAACATGAATAGACAGTTCTCAAAAGAAGACATACAAATGGCAAACAAGCATAGGGAAAAATGCTCAACACCATTAAGTATCAGGGAAATGTAAATTGAAACCACAGTGCAATACCACCTCACTCCTGCGAGAATGGCCATAATTAAAAAATCAAAAAATAACAGATGTGGGCTGGGTGTGGTGGCTCACACCTGTAATCCCAGCACTTTGGGAGGCCGAGGTGAGTGGATCACCTGAGGTCCGAAGTTTGAGACCAGCCTGGCCAACATGGTGAAACCCCGTCTCTACTAAAAATACAAAAATTAGCTGGACGTGGTGGTGGGCACCTGTAATCCCAGCTACTCAGGAGCCTAAGGCAGGAGATATCACTTGGACCCAGGTGGCGGAGGGTGCAGTGAGCCAAGATCATGCCATTGCACTCCAGCCTGGGTGACAAGAGCAAAACTCCATCTCAAAATAATAATAATAATAATAATAATAATAATAATAATAATAATTAGACGTCGGCGTGGATGCAGTGAAATGAGAACACTTTTACACTGTTGGTGGGAATGTAAACTAGTACAACCACTAGTTGTACTAGTGTGGAAAACAGTGTGGAGATTCCTTATAGAACTAAAAGTAGAACTACCATTTAATCCAGCAATCCCATTACTAGGTATCTACTCAGAGGAAAATAAGTCATTATACGAAAAAGATACTTGCACAGGCATTTTTAGCAGCACAATTTGCAATTGCAAAAATATGGAACCAGCCTGAATGCCCATCAATCAACCAGTAAAGAAAATGTGTGTGTGTGTGTGTGTGTATATATATATATATACACACACCCCTATATATACGTGTATATATATGTATATGTGTATGTATATATGTGTATACATACATGTCTATATATGTATGTGTATATATATACATACACATGTGTCTACATATGTATGTGTGTGTGTATATATATATATATACATATATATATACACCATGGAATGCTACTCAGCCATTAAAAGAAATGAAATAATGCCATTCACAGCAACCCGGATGGAAATGAAGACTATTATTTTAAGTGAAGTAACTCGGGAATGAAAAACCAAACATCGTATGTTCTCACTTACATGTGGGAGCTAAACAACGAGGACGCAAAGGCATAAGAATGATACCTTGGACTTTGGGGACTCAAGGGAAAGGGTACGGGGTGTCAAGGGATAAAAGACTACACATTGGATACAGTGTACACTGCTCAGGTGATGAGTGCACCAAAATCTCAGAAATCACCACTAAAGAACTTATCCACCTAACAAAAAAAAAAAACCACCTGTTCCCCAAAAACCTACTGAAATAAAAAAAATAAAAATAAACAACAGAAATTGAAACTAAGTGAACAAAAAAGGAGTTTGGTATTCATTCAAAAAGTTAAACATACATGCCTTCTGGCCTAAGAAGTCAGCCATTAATCATATTGTTGTTCCCCTGTACATCATAAGTCATTATTCTTTTGCTACTTTCAACATCTTATCTTTGGCCAGGTGCAGTGGCTCATGCCTGTAATTCCAGCATTTTGGGAGGCTGAGGCAGGTGGACCATTTGAGCCCAGGAGTTCAAGACCAGCCTGGGAAACATAGAACAACCCCATTTCGACAAAAAAAAAAAAAAAAAAAAAAAAAAAAAAAAAAAAAACTTTGTAATTCAACTGTCTGACTGATTGCTTTTAATTTTTATTTATATATTCTTTTTTTGTTTTTAGAGACAGGGTCTCGCTTTGTTACCTAAACTGGAGTGCAGTGGCAGGATCATAACTCACTGCAGCCTAAAATTCCTGGGCTCCAGCAATCCTCCGACCTCAAACTCCTGAGGAGCTGGGACTACAGGTGCATGCAACCACACCTGGCTAATTTTTTTTAAGTTTTATAGAGTTGGGGGTCCCACTCTCACTGCCCAGGTCAGTCTTGAACTCCAGGGCTCAAGCAGTCCTCCCACCTGAGCCTCCCAAAGTGCTGGGATTATAGGCATAAGCTACCCCACCCAGTGATTATTATTGTAATCCCTACAGCAACCACTAAGAAAGTTATTAAATATATATAACAATATATTTATCCTATAAATGCAATGTTGGTTTAACAGAAAATTAATTAATGTAGAAGACTGATGCCACCAAAATAGCAGAGTAGAAGTAATCTGGCTTCACTCCCTCCCACAGAAAACCAAAAACAAATATCCAGGACCAAAATTATCATCAGCAATATCCCAGAACTCAAATATGAGGCTGAGACAATCCCCAGGGACACAGAAGTGGAAAAACTTTGAGCAGATAGAGAAACAGACTTCTCTATCTGTGACAACCCTCACTCAGTTTTCCAGGCACCACACATGGAAAATTGCTCCTGGGTTCACAGTTTCTACACCAGAAAATGTGAGACTGAGGTAGACAACCAGCTTTCCCATCATCTTGCATTCCCTTGCAGGAAAACCATTCCTGCTTCAACCCACAGGAGGCATCACAAGTGCCTGTAGAAGAAAAAATCCCCAAGAACAGCTAGAAACAAAGAGAGGAGACAGGACTAGCAACCCTAGCCCATGTAACTCTGTTCTTCATCTCAGCCAAAGGAGATGCCAAATTAAAGTGACTTCTCAATAGCTCCACACTGTTAAGAGAAATACTCCACAGGTTTTCCGGTCACAAACGCCTAGCCAGCCTCCCCACATTCCCTTTGGGACCTCCCCCTACAACCCCATTTGAGACGGGCAGTGCTCTGAATGTTTGCAAGAGCCAAGGCAAACCTGGGCTTAAGGCACCATCTATTACCAAAAAGGAGATGGTGATCTAGGAATAAGGGGACTCACTGGGCAACTGCAAAGAACCTCTAAGCAAACATACCCTAGAAAGACCTAAACAAGTCAGCCAGTGAAGACTAGAATAAATAACAATCTATTAATGCAAAGCCATAGATGTACATCCACAAAAAAAACAACAGCCAACAGGGAAACCCTAGCTCCCCAAACAAAGAAAGGAGCCAGTGACCAACCCTAAGGAGACAGCAATGTTGAACTCTTAGATCAAGAATTAAAAATAGCAGTTTTAAGGAAACTCAGTGAACTCTGAGATAACACAGAAGAACAATTCAGAAATGTATCAGAGAAACTTAGAAAGACTTTTTAACCTTTTACCTCGTTGCACTCCTGAGAGCAAGATGGGTCACCAGCAGTTGTACTGGAGCCACCTGCGAAAATTCGGCCAGGGTTCTCCCTCTTGTCGCGTCTGTTCAAACCGGCACGGTCTGATCTGGAAATAGGGCCTCAATATGTGCCGCCAGTGTTTCCGTCAGTACACGAAGGATATCGGTTTCATTAAGTTGGACTAAATTATCTTCCTTCAAAGGATTATCCAAGGCATCTGCTCAATGAAAGACCATGATAGTTCTTTGTACATAAAATAAAGATTTGAAAAAAACAACAACAAAAAATACTTTTTAATATATTAAACAGAGGCTGGGTGCAGTAGCTCACACCTGTAATCCCAGCACTTTGGGAGGCCAAGGCGGGTGGATCACCTGAGGTCAAGAATTGGAGACCACCCTGACCAACATGGTGAAACCCCATGTCTACTAAATACAAAAAAATTAGCCGGGCATGGTGGCAGATGCCTGTAATCCCAGCTATTTGGGAGGCTGAGGCAAAAGAATTACTTGAACCTGGGAGGTGGAGGTTGCAGTGAGCCAAGATCACACCACTGCACTCCAATCTAGGCAAAAAGAGCAAAACTGTCTCAAAAAAAAAAATTAAACAGAAATCCTGGAACTGACCAATATATCTGCTGAACTGAAAGATGCATTAGAGGTTCTCCACAGCAGAATGGATAAGCAGAGGAAAAAAATAATTGAGCTTGAAGACATGCTATTTGAAAATACACAGAACAGAAAAAAGAAAAAAGCATGAAAAGGAACAATGAACACCTACAAAATATAAGGAATAACCTCAAAAGTGCAAATCTCAGAGTCATTGGTGTTCAAAAGGGAGTTTAAAAAGAACAAGGGGTACAAACCTTATTCAAAGAAATGATAACACAAAACTTGCCAAACCTAGAGAAAGATATACCCAGGTGCATAGAGGAAACCACACAAGCCAGGAGGGAGTGGGATAACACATTCAGAGTGCTGAAGGAAAAAAAAAAAAAACAAAAAAAACTGTCAACCAAGAATACTATGCCCAGCAAAACTTTCCTTCAGATATGAGAGATAAAAGCTGAGAGAATTCATCACTATTAGTTCCATCTTACAAGAAATGCTAAAGAGAATTCTTCAATCTAAAAGAAAAGGATACTAACATGAAAAAAGAAAACATTTGAAGGCAAAAAACCCACTGGTAAAAGTAAGTACATAGATACATTCAGAATAGTTTAATATTGTGGCCAGGCAGGGTGGCTCACGCCTGTAATCCCAGCACTTTGAGAGGCCGAGGTGGGTGGATCACTTGAGTCCAGAAGTTCGAGACAAGCCTGGCCAACACGGTGAAACCCTGCCTCTACTAAAAATACAAAACTTAGCTGGGCGTGGTGGCATGCACCTGTAATCCCAGCTACTTGGGAGGCTGAAGCAGGAGAATCGCTTGAACCCAGGAGGGGAGGTTGCAGTGAGCCAAGATTGCGCCACTGCACTCCAGCCTGGGCAACAGAGTAAGATTCTGTCTAAAAAAAAAAAAAAAGTTAATATCATAATTCATAATTGTGATGTATGATCCATTCATACCTCTAAGTGGGAAGACTAAAAGACAAATCTATCCAAAATAATAACTACAGTAACCTGTTAAGAGATAGGCAACATAAAAAGATGTAAATTGAGAAAATGTGATATACCATAGTTTAGAAATATAGGCAACATAAAAAGATGTAAATTGAGAAAATGTAATGTACCATAGTTTAGAAATATTTTCTCCCTTCCAACCTTTATAGAAAGAGTGTATTTCGGGCTTGGCCACATGACTTCCTTTGATCATTGCAATGGTGGCAGGCATGATGTGACCCAAAAACATGAAAAGCAGTTGCACAACTGTGCTTATCTTCTTTCCCTTCTTCTATCACCGTAAGATCATTCCCGGCTATCCTGCTGGTGCCAGGAGGAGTATGACAGACAGGTGGAGCAGAGCAAAACCTCTCTAGCCAATTCTCATTTAGAATGCCAACTCCAGTCAATCCGCAGATTTATAAGAATAAATGATTGTTGTTTCATGTTACTGAGTTTGTTTTGTTTTGTTTTTGAAATGGAGTCTCATTCTGTCACCCAGGCTGGAATGCAGTGGCATGATCTCGGCCCACTGCAACCTCTACCTCCCAGATTCAGGTGATTCTCCTGAGCATTCTGCCTCCCGAGCAGCTGGGATTACAGGTATGCACCACCACACCCAGCTAATTTTTGGGGTTTTTTTTTTTTGTTGTTGTTGTTGTTTGTATTAGAGAGAGGGTTTCACCATGTTGGCCAGGCTGGTCTTGAACTCCTGAACTCAAGTGATCCACTGGCCTTGGCCTCCCAAAGTGCTGGGATTACAGGCATGAGCCGTTGCGCCCAGCCAACTGAGTTTTGATATGGTTAGTTATGTGGCATTCTTGTGGTAACAGTTAATTGGCATAGGTAGTGACCAAGAAACAGTAAACATCATACTTAATAGTAAACCATTAAAAACATTATTTGGCTGGGCACAGTGGCTCATGCCTGTAATCCCAGCACTTTGGGAGGCTAAGGCAGGTGGATCACTTGAGCCCAAGAGTTCAAGACTAGCCTGAGCAAAACAGTAAAACCCTCTCTCTGGCAAAAAAAAAAAAAAAAAAAAAAATAGCCAGGCCTGTGGTACACACCTGTAGTCCCAGCTACTTGAAAGGCTAATGTGGAAGGATTACTTGAGCCTGGGAAGTGGAGGTTGCAGTGAGCTGAGATCATGCCAATGTACTCCAGCCTGGGTGACAGAGCAAGACCCTGTCTCAAAATATAACAAGATAAGAGTATCTATTGTCACATTCACTCAAAATTGTATTGAAGATCTTAGGCAAGGAAATGGAAATTAAAGGTATAAAAATGAGAATGAAAGAAATAAAATTACAGGAAAGATGTTACGTTTGATTCTGTGATGGCAGAGGGTTTTGAGCAGAGGTAAAATGATCTGACTTACATGTTTAAAAGAGTATTCTGACTGCTGTATAGAGAATAGGCTGAATGGGGGCAAAGGCATAAACAGGAAGACCAAAAAGGAGGCTACTGCAACAATCCAGGCAAAAGACCTGATGGCTTAGATTGGGTCAGAGGTAGTGGAAATGTCAGAAGTAGTCAGGTTATGCATAGATTCCAAAGGTACAGCTATATGCTTTGCTGATGGGCTGGCTATGGGGTAGAAAGAAAAGAGTCAAGGATAATTCTGAATTTTCTTGCCTGAGCATCTAATACATTGGATTTATTTATTTATTGTTTTGTTTTTTTGAGGCAGAGTTTCACTCTTATTACCCAGGCTGGAGTGCAATGGCGCAATCTCGGCTCACTGCAACCTCTGCCTCCCAGGTTCAAGCGATTCTCCTGCTTCAACCTCCTGAGTAGCTGGGATTACAGGTGCCCACCACCACACCCGGCTAATTTTTTGTATTTTTAATAAAGACGGGGTTTTGCCACTGTGGCCAGGCTAGTCTCGAACTCCTGACCTCAGGTGATCCTCCCACATCGGCCTCCCAAAGTGCTGGAGTTACAGGCATGAGGCACCATGCCTGGCCGCTGCATTGGATTTATTGAGATAGGGAAGAGAGAGAAAAAGGTGGAGAAGAGGGGCAGGAATCGAGAGTTCTGTTTTGGGCTAGGTGCAATGGCTCATGCTTATAATCCCAGCACTTTGGGAGGCCAAGGCAGGAGGGTGGCTTGAGCCCAGGAGTTTAGAACCTACCTGGGCAATATAGGGAGACCCTGTCTCTACCAAAAATTTAAAAATTAGCCAGGCATGATGGCACATGCATGTAGTCCCACCTATTGGGAGGTTAAGGTGGGAGAATTGCTTGAGCCCAAGAGGGCATGGCTGCAGTGAGCTGTGATTGTACCACTGCACTCCAGCCTGGACAACAAAGTAAGACCATCTCCGAAAATGTAAAAAAAGAAAATTATTTTTTGTACCCATTGATTTTGAAAAGCCAATTAGATATATCCAAGTGAAAATGATGGCCAGGAGCAGTGGCTAATGCCTGTAATCCTAGCACCTTGGGAAGCTGAGGCAGGCAGATCACTTGAGGTCAGGAGTTCAAAACCAGCCTGGCCAACATGGTGAAAGCCCGTCTCTACTAACAATTAAAAAAAAAAATTAGCCAGGCATGGTGGCAAGCCCCTGTAATCCCAGCTACTCAGGAGGCTGAGGCAGGAAAATCACTTGAACCCAGGAGGTGGAGGTTGCAGCAAGCCGAGGTCACATCACTGTACTCCAGCCTGGGCAACACAGCAAGACTCCATCTCAAAAAAAAAGAAAAGAAAAAAAGAAAATGATGAGTAAGCAACTGAACATAGGAATCTAGAGTTCAGAGGAAAGGTTTGGGCAAGGGAGAGAAAACGGAAGTCATCAGCAAGTAGATAGCATTTAAGGCCTTAGAGTTAATGAAATGACCCACAATGTGTATGTAGAGGGAGAAGAGAAGAGATCCAATGACAGAGCCCTGTGTATTCCACTGTTTAGAGGTCAGGAAGCTGAAGAAGAACCAGCAAAAGAGACCTGGGAGAAGGAGCCAGTGAAATATGAGGAGAATCAAGAAACCAAATGAAGAAAGTGATTCAAGATACGGTATTATGTTTTCATAGAAAATGACCTTAGGAGACACTGCTAATGATTTTGAAATGAGGATGACACCTTCAACATACTTTTTTTTTTTTTTTTTGAGACGGAGTCTTGCTCTATTGCCCAGGCTGGAGTGCAGTGGCACAATCTCGGCTCACTGCAACCTCTGCCTCCCGGGCTCAAGCAATTCCCTGCCTCAGCCTCCGGAGTAACTGGGATTACAGGCATGGGCCACCGCACCTGGCCTCGACATATTTTCAAATGCTACAATAAGATTTATATTATAGGCCGGGTGCGGTGACTCACACCTGTAATCCCAACACTTTGGGAGGCTGAGACGGGCAGATCACGAGGTCAGGAGTTTGAGACCAGCCTGGCCAACATAGTGAAACTCCATCTCTAGTAAATATACAAAAACTAGTCGGGCATGGTGGCAAGCGCCTGTAGTCCCAGCTACTCAGGAGGCTGAGGCAGGAGAATCACTTGAACCCAGGAGGCAGAGGTTGTGGTAAGCCAAGATCATGCCACTGCATTCCAGCCTGGGCAACGGAGCAAGACTCTGTCTCAAAAAAAAAAAAAATTATATTGTATTATTACTATTATATGTTATACCTATTCTATATTAGAGAGAACTAATAGGACAAAATGTTAACAATTGTTGGATTTACATGAATGATGTACAGGTGTTCATTATGCATTCCTTCAACTTTTCTGCATGTTTGAATTTTTTCATAATAAAGAGATTAGGGTGACTGTTTTTGAGGGTTTGAGACAGGGTCTTGCTCTGTCGCCTGGGCTGGAGTGCAGTGGCAGCATTATGGCTTACTGCAGCTTCAACCTCTTGGGCTCAAGGATTCCTCCTACCCCAGCCTCCCATGTAGCTGGGACCACAGGCATGCACCACCACTCCTGGCTAATTTTTTGATGTTTTGTAGACAGGGGGCCTCACTTCATTGCTCAGCTTTGTCTCAAACTCCTGGGCTCAAGTGATCCTCCTGCCTCAGCCTCCCAAAGTGCTGGGATTACAGGCATGAGCCCCCATGCCCAACATGGGGATACTATTTTGAGAATAATGAGTAATCAACCACATTCATTTAACTGCTTTTAAGGTCAATAACTTTATATTCCTCTAATACCCAGGTTGTGGTATCCAAACACCATTTCCCACTAAAAAAGACCATGAATCACTGGGGAAAAAAAGTAGCTGATACCAGCTCTGGTCTAGATATGCACAAAATGAGTCCAGAACATTTTATCATATTGGATAGCAAGAAAACTGGAAATTTATGTCAGAAGGACTCAGGAACTAACTTGAATAAGTTCCCACTGGCCAAAATAGGACAGTTTTGGCCAGTGGGAACAAAATAGTGATGGCAGCAGCAGGCTGTCTGCAGTGGCTGCTGCCATCATGCCAGCTGCAGCAGGGAGGCATGGCCAGGGCTGCACATTCCATGGAGCCAACAGGAGCTGGGGACAAGCGGGATCCTTGTCCCTTCCAAGTTGGGGTGGGAGCTCCCTGGGTGCTGCTGCAGCCGCCCAAGCCACGGCTGTGGACCCAGGCATCCCTGTGCTTTCAGGACCGGGAGCAGACAGGAGCCCTACCTTTCCAGGCGCAGCTGCAGCCACCCAAACCACAGCTGCAGACTCAGGCCTCCTGCTCAGCAGAGCAGGCAGGAGCCCCGCCCCTGCCAGGTGTAGGTGCAGCCACTCAAAGAGTGGCTGCAGACTCAGGAATCCCTGCCCTCTTGGGGCCCCAGAAGGCCTCACAGGCTCAGAAATTCCTGCTCCAACTGCCTGGCTTCTTCCTGCTGTTGGTGCCCACTCCAATCTCAGAACAAAGTCCGAGCAGAGCCTGGGCACTGTCACAGCCTGGCCGAGTGTGCACATACTCGGAGCAGTGCTGACACACCAGTCCCCTGCTGCTTTGGTCCCCTACAGATTTTGGGTGCCAATGAGCATAGGAGGGAAGCCAAGTGGGGTCTGAAGGCAGCTCAGCACTGGCCTGCAGGCGCCTCTTGGCACCTACAGCCTGGGCACCATGAATGGCAGCAGGAGGCAGACAGGCTTCTGAGCGGATGGGGCAGGTCCCTGGTAAGGCCCCACTTTCAGGCCAGGGAGGGCCTGAAGGCTGGGGACCGGGCTGCCCATCACACTATGGGAGTGGGAACTTGTGGTGACACTTCCAGGCCCACCCATGGCTGCCCAGGACCAACTGGCATGCACTTCCTCCCCTCTAAGGCCCATAAAAGCCCAGGCTCTGAGCAGACGTCAGGACAATCAGCTGCAGAGAGGAGCTACCCACACCAAGGCCTCCTCTCTGTGAGAGCCGCAGATGTTGGGACAACCAGCTGCAGAGAGGAGCAACCAACTTTGGGGCCTCCTCTCTGCTGAGAGCTGCAGAGACTACAGGATGACATACCTGCAGAGAGAAGCCACCCACTCTAGGGCCTCCCCTCTGCTGAGAGCTGCACAGATGACAGGACAACCAGCTGCAGAGAGACGCTACCCTCCCTGCTGATAGCTGAACACTTGTCAGGACGACTTGCCTAGCAGAGAGGAGCTACCCTCTCTGCTAGGAGCTGAACATGCCTCAGGACACCCCTGCTAGGGAAAGGAGCTGCCCCCTGCAGGTTTCTTTTGAGCTGTTCTATTGCTCAATAAAGCTACTCTTTGTCTTGCTCACTCTTCACTTGTCTGCGTACCTCATTCTTCCTGTCGCAGGACAAGAACTCAGGACCCACCAAATGGTGAGGCTAAAAGAGCTGTAACAAACGGGGGTGAGACATGACCCTTGCTTGCCACGTTGTGGGTGAAGGCAAGGAAAGAAGAACTGCAGCCCTTCGGGGAGCCTAGCCCTGGGAGCTCCCCAAGCCAGGGCTGTGACTTCCTCTTTGAGGACCTGCTGTTCCTGGCATCTCCAAGCTTCCAGGCACCAATGTGTCCCCCAGTGCCAGCTGTGGAAGCTGCTTGCCATGTGCCTGGTCCGGCCGCAGGCTTGCAGGGAAATGGTGCCATGCTGGCACCTGGAACTGCCCGCCCCACTGCAGCACCCGGAATGTCTGACTGTGCACAGTGGCTGGACCCAATGCTCACTCACATACCCCTAACTGTTCCACGCCTGTCTCACCCTTGGCAGGCATGGGACCCAGGCTGGTAGCGTGAGCCAAGCACAGGCTGCCAGGCTGGGTAGGCGAAACAAGCCCAGAGGGCCTGAGCAAAACTGGGGCAAAAGCACCACCAGCCACAGAGGTTTCTGGCCAGAAAAAGGACGCCCCAAAGATCCCGTAACAATAGGACAAGCACCAAAAATGATAACTGGGCGCAGTGGCTCACGCCTGTAATCCCAGCACTTTGGGAGGCCAAGGCAGGAGGATCACCTGAGGTCAGGAGTTTGAGACCAGCCTGGCCAACATGGTGAAACTCTGTCTCTACTAAAAATACAAAAATCAGCCGGGCGTGGTGACAGGTGTCTGTAATCCCAGCTACTCAGGAGGCTGAGACAGGGGAATCGCTTGAACCTGGGAAGCGGAGTTTGCAGTGAGCCGAGATCACACCACTGCACTCTAGCCTGGGTGACAGAGCAAGACTCCATCTCAATCAATCAATCAATCAATAACTGGGCTGGGTGCAGTGGCTCATGTCTGTAATCCCAGCACTTTGGGAGGCCAAGGCAGGAGGATCACTTGAGGCCAGGAGTTTGAGACCAGCCTGGGCAAAACATGGTGAGACCCTGTCTCTACAAAAAAATTAAAAATTAGCCAGGTGTGATGGCACGTGCTTGTAGTCCCAGTTACTTGGGAGGCTGAGATGAGAGAATCACTTGAGCCCGGGAGGTCAAGGTTGCAGTGAGCTTTGTGCCACTGCACTCCAGCCTGAAAAAGAGTGAGACCCGTCTCAAAAAGAAAAAAAAGATAACTAGCAATAATTGAGTATATCACATATGTGTTAAATTATGAGTTCATAATGGTACTTTAAAAAAAACCTCATCGGTCAACTTTGGAAGATGCTGGGGAACCAACTCATTACTTTGAAAGCTGGTAAAATAAGTGAGAAACAATCAAGTATTTATTCTGCCTTTCCTAGGAAATGTATCTCTGTGTAACAAATAGTTAATGTGGAAAAGTTTCTCCTTATAGAATTATTCTACCTAATACTTCTATAGGAATTCATTCAAAGAAGGAATGATAATATTATTTTCTAACTTTTTATTTATTTTGAGACAGGGTCTTGCTATGATGCCCAGGCTGGACTCGAACTCCTGGGCTCAAGCAACCCTCTCGGCTCAACTTCCCATGTAGTTGGGACTATAGTCGCGTGCCACCATGCCCAGCTTTAACTCCTCTATTAATGAACCTAGACCAGTGGTTCTTATTCAGGGTCAATTTTGTCCCCCAGAGGACAAATGGCAATGTCTAGACACATTTTTTTATTGTTACAGTCAGGAGGAGGTGCTACTGGCATCCATTAGGTAGAGGCCAGAGATGCTGCTAAGCATCCTACAATACACAGGACAGCCCCTACAATAAAGAATTTTCCAGCCCAAAATGTCAATAGTGCCACGGTTGAGAAACAAATATCAGTTATTAAAATCACAAAAAGACCACCACTGTATACCTCCTGTATACCTCCTGATAGAAGTGCTAAAACCATCTACAAATTAGTTTTGCCAAAAGAAATCTAAATTTGATTAAGTTACCAATTTATATCAAATACAGAGGATGGAGGAACATGCTAAATTACCACAGAAATCAAGACTCTAAGAAACTCTACAGGACAAATGAACCAGTTTTAAAAAATAGTAAGAAAAAAGATGGAGAATAAGCATAGATCTGCAAAGACTTAAGAAACATATGGCTGGGTGTGGTGGCTCACACCTATAATCCCAGCACTTTGGGAGGCCAAGGCGAATGGAATGCTTGAGCCCAGGAGTTGAGACCAGCCTGGGCAACGTGGCAAACCCCATCTCTACAAAAATACAAAAATTAGACAGGTGTGGTGGTACCCACACCTCAGTAGTCCCAGCCACTCAGAAGGCTGAGGCAGGATTGCTTGAGCCTCGGGGGTGGAGGTTGCTGTGAGCCGAGATCAACCCACTGCACTCCATCCTGGGTGATAGAGCCAGACCCTGTCTCACAAAAAGAGAGACAGACAGACAGACATATCACCTGCAAAGTACAGACCTAATTTAGATTTTGATTCAAATAAACAATTTTTAAAAATCAAACGTAAGACAGTGAGGGAAATGTAAACAACTGGATGCTTGATGACATGAAGGAACTATTGTTTTTTTTTGGTGTGACAATACTGTGATTTGGTTTTAAAGAAGAATCCTTATCATTTAGAGATAACGTACTGAAACATTTACAGGATGAAATGATATGTCAGAAATATACACAAATATGGAGTGGGGAAGAGGGCACGGGTATAGATGAAACAAGATTGGCCATGAATTGCTCATTGGAGAATCACTGACATAGAAGGGTAAATGAAAGTAGGTACTTTCACCTGGGCCAGGTCAAATATGGCAACAGTACAACTGAGGCAAAGGAAAGCCAATTTTGCACTATGGGTTTCCAACAAAATGGTCTTACTAATCCAAGGTAAATAAACATTCATTTTTCTATTCTGTGTGTGTGTGTTAAGACATTTTCCACCATACAAACAACAACAAAAGGTTTTTTTGAGACAGAGTCCCGCTCTTGTCGCCTAGACAGGAGTGTAATGGCGCGATCTTGGCTCACTGCAACCTCCGCCTCCCGGGTTCAAGCGATTCACCTGCCTCAGATTCCAGAGTAGCTGGAATTACAGGCGCTCGCCACATCAGGCTAATTTTTTTGTATTTTTAGTAGAGACGGGGTTTCACTACGTTGGCCAGGCTGGTCTCATCCTTTCCTGATTGAACCACAGTCACAGCCTCCTTCCTAATCAGTCTCCCGGCCTCCATACAACCACCGCAATCATCTTACAAAAAATAGGCACCTGGCTCTTTGGCTTGGCATTACCATCACCAACTACTACAGTAATTCTCAAACGTGATAAAGGGCCAGAACCCAGTGTCGGTTAAAAGATCTATGATATTAAACAAAATGAGGCATAAATTCCTAGTGTTTACAGATGTCATACAATAAAAAGCAAATTCACAAATTAGTTGTAGATGTTAACATTAATGTGATGAATGAGCGTGTGCTGAAGACCAAACGCCTCCAGAAAAAAGAACAGGATGCACGTGCCCCGTGCAATTCTGTGAGGTTGGCCTGCCTCCACCGGCTGTGGAAGGATTGCGAATGTCTCCCATTCCTCTCGCTCCAAACTTGTGCAATACCTTCCCTTGTACAGCGCACCAAGACAGCATCTGGCCTTCTCTTGACTCTAAGGCATCATGTATCATTTATGACCGTCTTTATTCTTTTCTCAGTAGCCCTCGACAAGCGAGTAGTATTTCTTGGCTCCAAGTCTCATAAACGTGTAACCAGACTCCATTGGAAGACGGTAACCCCACGCGATACGGACTGTGCTTGTATTAATTCTCTTTTAAGCTTACTACAGAAATATCAATACAGTACTTGAGAATTCCTGCAGGACTCAGCCTCGCTTCCTCGAGGAGCTCTCAGCCTGCCTCCGCACTCGAGACGGCAGCTTTCTCTCCCTCCGCCCACCGTTCCGCCGCTAGGTGGCAGGCGGCTCAACGACGCCCTTTTAAACCGTTTGCCCCGGAGTGGACCGCCGGGATCGCGTGTCACCACCCAACCCTAGCGATGATTGGCTATTTCGCCGAGGCCGGAGGAGGAACCAGCGGCAGAACCGGAAGCGTCTGGTACGGCGAGTGCACGGAGTCCTGAGACTGCGTGCGCACCCAGGCACCGCGCCGACTTAAAGAGGCCAGTTGCAGCCCCTCCTCCGGCCTTAGGGGGCAGACCGTGTTCCTACGTGGAGGGCGGAACCCTCACACTGAGGAGGGCTGGGTCACACTGAGGGGAGGAGTCACCTTGAGAGGAGGGGTCACAATGACTAGTGGATTTCCTCGGAGGTGGGGTCTCACTGCGTGGGAGGAACACAGAGCAAGGGGGTGCAGCACTGAGGGGTTCTGACACACTGACGGTGGCAGTGCCACACTGGGGAAAAGTGCCCCCGAAAGGGAGGTGTCTCACTGAGGAAGGGAGGGGTCTCCGAGGGACAGCGTTCTTTGAGGGGGGTGGGATCTTGCGGAAGGACGGGCTTCCCTGCAGGTGGAGGCTTCTCTCTTAGAGTCTTTTGGGCAAAGTAGTAAGAGGGAGGTCCCGGCTGGGTGGTCACAGGGCGGAGGACCTGGACTCTCTTCTTTATTGGGAGGCGGCAGGATGAAGTGAGGAGGAGTCGGGGCTAAGCTGGGTATGGGCCGGCCAAAGGCTTCCTATAGCCCCGGGGTATCACAACCTCCCGTGAAGGTAGAAGGTGTTAGGGAGGCCAGAGGTTCAAGGTGTCGGAGTCGAAGAGACCTGGGAAATGGGCAGGCTGGGCCGGGGCGCAGGCCAGGAAGGTGGACAGGTTGCTAGGCTACCTCTGATTGCGGCTGGGCCTGAGGGGCCTACCTTTCTGCCCCGTTGGTCCCTGGAGCCCAGGAATCCGGCAGGTTTCTGAGCCCGACCCTCAACGGACAGTAACCCAGGGAGGAGAGGGGACTCCCTGGGCAGCTAAGCTTCGCATGCGCACCATCAGCCCTTAATTCCCTCCCGTTATTCAAGCTCAGGCCGGAGCTTATTTGACCCGGGCGGCCCAGGGCATCGCGGCCGGAAAGCGGGGAGGCGGGGGTGCGCACCTGAGGGGGCGTGGCCGCTGCCGGGAGGCCGGGCTGGAAGGAGTTAAGCGGAGGCCCGGCCCAGCCCCGCCCCCGGCAGGCCGCGGAGCCTGATCCCCGGCGGCTAAGCGGAGCAGCCGCCGCCCGCCCGCCCGCCCGCCTCCGCCCGCGGCAAGCCAGCCCGCCGGCGCCCCGGAGCGCTGCCGCCACCGTCACCGCCACCGCCCGGTCCAGGCCCAAGCCCAGGCCCTGCGCGGAGCGGAGCGGCGCGGCGTCCACCCGGGCCCAGCCAGCCGGCGCGGCGGGGGCGGGTCCAGGATCTTCGGCGGATCTTCCATTCTCAGGGCGGGAGCCGGAGTCCGGGCGCCCGGGATCGGGCTGGGCCCGCGCCCATGGCAAGCGCGGCCTGCCCGGGCCCTGGGGACCCTGCCATGTGAGGCAGGCCCGGGCTGGGGGCCCGGCCATGGCCGGGGAACGGCCCCCACTGCGGGGCCCTGGGCCCGGGCCTGGAGAGGTGCCGGGGGAGGGGCCCCCGGGGCCGGGGGGCACGGGCGGAGGCCCGGGCCGGGGCCGCCCCTCCTCCTACCGGGCTCTCCGCAGCGCCGTGTCTAGCCTGGCGCGTGTGGACGATTTTCACTGCGCGGAGAAGATCGGGGCCGGCTTCTTCTCTGAGGTCTACAAGGTAGGACCGGCCGAGAGGGCAGAGGGGCGGGACCGAGCCTTCAACCAGAGGCTGAAACTAGGGGGCCGGGAGTGCGGGGAAGAGGGTCCAGACTCCGGCGACCCGCCCGACCTGCCCGGCCCTCGCCGGCTGCTCCTGCCCCCAGGTTCGGCACCGACAGTCAGGGCAAGTCATGGTGCTGAAGATGAACAAGCTCCCCAGTAACCGGGGCAACACACTACGGGAAGTGCAGCTGATGAACCGGCTCAGGCACCCCAACATCCTAAGGTGAGCGGCCCCAGTCTCTGGGCAGCTTGCTGGGCGGGAGAGAAAGGGAAAGATCCCGCGGGAAAAGTGGAACTGAGGAGGAGCTGAGGCCTTTAATAGCCTATCCTTCTATCTTCCCCATCCTCTTGCAGGTTCATGGGAGTCTGTGTGCACCAGGGACAGCTGCACGCTCTTACAGAGGTGAGGATAGGCCAGGAAGGAGGGATCCCCACCCCCCTTCACCCCCAAGGATAAAGGGAGTCAACAGGCCTGGTGGATCTACGGAGGACTAGTGAGAGGCAACAGGATCTCCTCTCAGGGGAGGCTTTCCTGAACTTTCCTTTAGGCAAACCACATATAAAAGGCCTCAACTGGTCTTATTCTCTGTATCCCCTAGAACAGTGCTGTCCAATAGAATTTTCTTCAGTGACGGAAATGTTCTCTATCTGTGCTGTCCAATACAGTAGCCACTAGCCACATGTGGTTAAATTTAAATTATTTTCATTGTTTAGATTATTTTTTGTGGGTCAACTTG
Source organism: Homo sapiens (assembly GCF_000001405.40). Taxonomy (NCBI): domain Eukaryota; kingdom Metazoa; phylum Chordata; class Mammalia; order Primates; family Hominidae; genus Homo; species Homo sapiens. The sequence goes on from NC_000009.12 coordinate 35,606,620, forward strand.
ATTAAAAAATTTTTTAAATTATTTAAATTGTTGCACATGGCTAATGGCTATTGAGTTGAACGGGGCAATCCTAGAACATGGATGGGGGGGGTCCTACAGCACAGTCTTACCCCTATGACCTCTGTGATCCTCGGGAGTGTCCCCTAGCGTGTAAGTGGGGGACCTAGAATACAGACTGAAGTCTGACATCTATTCCCATTCTCCTCCTATGCACCAGTATATGAATGGGGGGACATTGGAACAGCTGCTCAGCTCCCCTGAACCCCTGTCCTGGCCGGTCAGGCTCCACCTGGCCCTGGACATTGCCCGAGGCCTGCGGTACCTGCACTCCAAAGGTGTATTTCACCGCGACCTCACATCCAAGGTAGGCTAGCAGGGTGGGTGGAGACATGAAAGAGGGTTTGAGGCTATTAGGTTGTAACTGGCCTGTGGATGTTGGAATATGGATAACAGATATATTAGGATGTTGGAGTGGCAAGGCATTGGAGAATATTGGGGGACCAGGGTGAGGGGAGTGCTCGGAGGGACTGAGTAGCACCCTGTGTTTGGAGTGTTGGATGATGTTGCAATATTGAAGTGCCTTGAAAAACTGGGAGAGCAGAGAGGGTTGGAGTTATGCTGGAGTGACAGGGCTTTGGGTTATACATTGGGAGGCCAGACAGCAGAAGGTGATGAGTGCGTGGGGATACTATGTGTGTGTGTGTCAGAACTGTCTAGTCCGACGGGAAGATCGAGGCTTCACCGCTGTCGTGGGTGACTTCGGGCTGGCCGAAAAGATTCCTGTGTATAGGTGAGATGAATGTCCCTGTTCCCCCCAAATCTCCCAGAGTGCCCCTATCTGATGTCCCCAGAGCCCCAGGGATGTTTCCCTTGGGGAACGGAGGGAGTTCACCTCATCCCCTTTTGCCTGGGGGGGATGCCTGAATAGGATGCTTCTGACCACTCTGCCCCTGCCCCTGCAGGGAGGGGGCAAGGAAGGAGCCATTGGCCGTGGTGGGCTCCCCATACTGGATGGCTCCAGAGGTGTTACGGGGTGAGCTGTATGATGAGAAGGTGAGACATCAACCCTTCAGATCCCCAAGGCCTTCCGAGACCCTTGAGGTATTCTCATAAAGCCCCATCCATCCCCAAAACAACCCTACCAGATCTTCAGGAGTCCCCAAGATCCCTTTGCCCCTCACAGGCACCCTTCTAACACATGAAAACTGTCAAGATCCCCCACCCTCAACCAAATTCTGCTATATTCTGTCAAAATTCTGAAATGAAAACTGTTAATTCTTCCCCGACACTATTATCTCTGACCCCCAGGCTGATGTCTTTGCCTTCGGGATTGTCCTCTGTGAGCTCATCGCCCGAGTACCTGCAGACCCTGACTACCTACCACGCACTGAGGTGAATGTTTCTAGGTTTGCAAAGAAAGAATTCCAGACTAGCTGGCTCATAACCAAGGAGGATTCCCTAGAGGTTGAGGTTCTGACTGGGGAGCAGAAGGAGAACCCAAGAAAAGCTGACTTGGAGGTCCCTCCTTCTGTCCCCACAGGACTTTGGCCTGGATGTGCCTGCTTTCCGAACTCTGGTGGGGGATGACTGCCCACTGCCTTTCTTGCTCCTGGCCATCCACTGCTGCAACGTAAGAGCCTCACACTCCTTCCTGCCCCACCCTGCCCCCATCCGTAAGCTGCCATGGCTGCCCTGTGGGACCCAGGTGATGGGAGGAAACTCAGAGACCCTCTTTCGGAGCACTGAGTGAAGCCGTTCCTGTCTCTACCCATCAGCTGGAACCCAGCACCCGTGCCCCCTTCACCGAAATTACCCAGCACCTGGAATGGATCCTGGAGCAGCTGCCTGAGCCAGCCCCACTCACCAGGACCGCCCTGACACACAATCAGGGTAAGGGAGCCTGACCTTGATCCAGCTTGAGTCCTTTGGCCTTTGTCCTCCCTAGAATTCAGAGGTGACATGGGGGAGGCTAAGTATATTTATTAGTTGAAAAGGCTGGGGGTCGGGCTGGGGTAGGGTGGGAGGACATCTCCAAGAAGACAGTTTCCTAATGCTAAAGCTTGAGGGAGAGGAGGGGAAAGAAGTAAAAGGGGCCTGGAGATGACATCACCCCTTTCCAAAGCACCAGGTGGGACTCCCTTTTTCAAGCTCTAGTCCCACCAGCCTCCTGGAGAATAGTGAGGCCCTCAAGGAGCTGTGATCAAATGCTGAGGACAGTGATTCCAGACTTCTCTATCTACAGGCTCTGTTGCAAGAGGGGGTCCCTCTGCCACGCTTCCCAGGCCAGATCCCCGGCTTTCCCGAAGCCGGTCAGACCTCTTCCTGCCCCCATCACCAGAATCACCCCCCAACTGGGGGGACAATCTGACTCGAGTCAACCCCTTCTCACTACGGGAAGACCTCAGGGGTGGCAAGATCAAGCTCTTAGACACACCCAGCAAGCCAGTCCTGCCTCTTGTGCCACCATCACCATTCCCATCCACTCAGCTGCCCTTGGTGACCACTCCGGAGACCCTGGTCCAGCCTGGGACACCTGCCCGCCGCTGCCGCTCACTACCCTCATCCCCCGAGCTCCCCCGCCGTATGGAGACAGCACTGCCAGGTCCTGGCCCTCCCGCTGTGGGCCCCTCGGCTGAAGAGAAGATGGAGTGCGAGGGCAGCAGCCCTGAGCCGGAACCTCCAGGGCCAGCGCCCCAGCTGCCTCTGGCTGTGGCCACAGACAACTTCATCAGCACCTGTTCCTCGGCCTCCCAACCCTGGTCCCCTAGATCAGGACCCGTCCTCAATAACAATCCCCCAGCTGTGGTGGTGAACTCCCCACAAGGCTGGGCTGGGGAGCCCTGGAACCGGGCCCAGCATAGCCTGCCCCGGGCGGCAGCCCTGGAGCGGACAGAACCCTCGCCACCCCCTTCAGCTCCCCGGGAGCCCGATGAGGGGCTGCCCTGTCCTGGCTGCTGCCTCGGCCCCTTCAGCTTTGGCTTCCTGTCCATGTGCCCCCGCCCCACACCAGCTGTTGCCCGCTACCGCAACCTGAACTGTGAGGCGGGCAGTCTCCTCTGCCACCGAGGGCACCACGCCAAGCCACCCACACCCAGCCTGCAGCTGCCTGGGGCACGCTCTTAGCAGTGGAGCCCGTGGTCTCAGGCCTCCAACTTTGGCCTTCAGGACACCCTGTAAGAACAGAGCACACTTGCTGGACAGTGCCAGTTCCAGATGGGCTGACCGGCTCTTCTCCCCGTGTAGGGGAGCCCCAGCATGGACTCAAGGGACAGAGCACTTCCAGTCGACCCCCCGGCTCGCGTTCCCGTGGGGATCACTGAACCAGACACAGCATTGCTGACACATGAGACTAACACGTGCAATTATTTAAAAAGATTTCAATAAAACTGCCTGGCTGGCTCCGGGCCGCCCCTATCCGCTCAGCCCGTGCGCCCTCCTCCCCCACCCCATTCTACCATGGGAAGTTCTTGGGGGGAGGCCAAAGTCCCTTCTAGAGGTGGCTTCACCCTTTTCCCAGGAACAGTCCAGTTTCAGGAAGAGGGAGCAGGCAGCAGACTGGCTGGAAGTGTCAGGTGTGGGTCAGCCGGTGGCTGGGCACTGCCCAGAATGAAGGAGATGGTCTGAGGAACCCCAGGCCTCAGGTTAGGAAGGAGGGGCACAGGTTCTTGTTGGCATGAGTGTCTGGAAAAGTAAAGTATCAGTGAGCTCCATGGTTGACTTAACTGAACCCTCATCCCACTCACCCCATCTCCTCCTCAGCTCTCGACAGCCACACCACCAGCCTCCCATAAGTTGTAGGCCTTACCTGTCCCTCCCTGCCCACCCCACCCTAACAAGCAGACCAAGCAACTGGAGGCTGTGGAGGAACTTTCATCCCAGGTACAAGTTTTCTCTCGGGCCCCTGGGCCCCTGCTCTGAGTCCCTGCTCTGAGTCCCTCTGCCCCTGGACTCCCCATGCCTCAGCCCCATCCCTCACTCTTACCAACTCAGTGCAAAGGACTGTCCTAATCTGGAAACCTGAAAGCTGTCATCTCACAGATGTAGGGAAGAGAACTTCTACATGACTCTGACTCCAGTGTCCACCATGACCAAGTTTTATGTACCTTGTTACATTTTGAGCTTTGAGCATAAGTCCTAAAAAGTAGTAAGGTAGAGCTGGGATATGCTCTGGACATATCCCACCCTCCCTTCTCTCCCCTTCCCCTGTATAAAACCTAAATCCTAACTCACCCTGCCTGCCTAAGGCCACATCTGGGCATGGTTCAGGACAGATGTCTGGAGTTCAACTAAAACAGACTTTAGAACCAGCAGAGGGAAAAATAACTCGAGATCTTAAAGATGGGAAGGCCAGGCTGGGCACGGTGGCTCATGCCTGCAATCCCAGCACTTTGGGAGGCCAAGGCGGGTGGATCACAAGGTCAGGACATCGAGACCATCCTGACTAACACGGTGAAACCCCGTCTCTACTAAAAATACAAAAAATTAGCCGGGCATGGCGGTGTGCGCCTGTAGTCCCAGCTGCTGGGGAGGCTGAGGCAGGAGAATGGTGTGAACCCCTGAGGCGGAGCTTGCAGTGAGCTGAGATTGCACCACTGCACTCCAGTCTGGGCGACAGAGCGAGACTCCATCTCAAAAAAAAAAAAAAGATGGGAAGGCCAATTGAGGAACATAAGGAGGTTGCCACCCTGTTTCAGGGTCCCTAGGGTTGATCCTCAATGGTACCCCACTGCTGTCTTGATCACAGTGAAGTGGAGCTTCGATGGTACCCCCGCTGCTCCCTTGCGTACTTCACTGAGGCAGCTCTAGTGCCCCAAGTGGCCGCTACTGAGAAAGTACAACCTCAGTTTGGGTGGCCTTCTCGAAGGATGGAGAAACGCTGCTGTCATCAGCTGTGGAGCCTTAACTAAATCCTTAATGTCTCCCCCTAAAAGATAGCGTAGGTCCCAACCTAGTAGTTACTGAAACAAAAAAGTATGTGCCAGGGACTTCTAGGTGGAAATAGAATGGAGAATAAGATTGCCCTAAGAAGTTATTAATCAAATAGAGGAAACAGACAAATAGGCAATTACAGTGTTGATTTATGGGAGAGTCCTGAGGGGACCAGGTGGGAAGGAAATCTGATTACCATGTCTTTATGGAGGGGATTATGGAGTTGAAAATACCCAGAAGTCCTAACAAACTTACCTAGTGCGTTGTGTATCATCAGTCAACTTCCAATCCTTGTTAGAGCTGAGGCCAGTCCAATATGAATTCCCTGAACCACCATTTGGCAACAGTGAATTTAAGAAGTAGTAAGAGTGCTGAGGGGAGATTCAGAGAGACCAGAGATACATGGAGAGTGATGAGAAATATGGAAGAAAATGCACACCCTAGGGAGGCCTCAGCTTTGGCAAGGGGGCTGTATATATGACAGCTCTTTGGTAACTTGTCCCTGAATCCATCAAGTGCCACCCTGCAGATGCAGGCTCACTGCTAAATTTGCCTTCCAGCTGAGTAAGAATCTCTGCCAGCCTTTGGAGGGGAGTCATTCTGTGTGCTGTTCTGGCCCCAAGGAACTAATCCCTACAATCCAGCCCACCAGGTGTGGGACCTCTCTGCCTGAGAGGCCACAAGAGTCCAGGAACCTGTCAAGCAGCCCAGGGAGCTGACCAGCAAGCTGAGATGAGATACACATTAAAGTAGAGGCCGGGCGCAGTGGTTCACACCTATAATCCCAGCACTTTGGGAGACTGAAGCAGGTGGATCACCTGAGGCCAGGAGTTAGAGACCAGCCTGACCAATATGGTGAAACCCCGACTCTATTAAAAATACAAAAATTAGCTGGGCGTGGTGGCATGTGACTGTAGTCCCAGCTACTCAGGAGGCTGAGACGGGAGAATTGCATGAACCCAGGAGGCGGAGGTTGCAGTGAGCTGAGATTATGCAAGTGCACTCCAGCCTGGGTGACAGAGTGAGACTCTGTCTCAAAAAAAAAAAAATGTAGATATGGTTAAGTTTCCATTCTCATGCCAACTCTAATCAGTTACTAGGGGCTGCCTGGACCACTGTGCTGAGAAGATGCAGAGGTTGTTTCCAAGCTCAGAGGTCAAGAGTATTATGATTCTCAGTTTCTTCCATGGAAAAGGAATGGCCACCCCAGCCATGTGTGCACTGCCATTCCTGACTTGATGACATATGTCCCTTTACCTAATAGTACCCACTGCAGTCTGTGAGTAAGGATATGCTTACTGATTGTGGATAAATTTCACTGAATGTGGCCAGCTTGGAAGACAGAGTTTCACATTGTTTTTGGCTCTCCTGCCAATTTTTTGAAGTAAGTGAGATGTAAAAGCAGCTTTTCTGATGCATTATCCATCCCGACGGACAGCAGGTGTCTAAAAAGCAGAAAGAGTGTGATAGCAGCAACAGTTGGGATGAAAGTGACTACTCAGCAATCTTTTGCTAACAATATTCCCCCAGAGCTAATCTCAGCACCTTCATGGACTTCTATGATCTTTGCAATCTTTCTTTTGCATCCCCTGGAAACACCATACCTGTCCTTACTTAGTAAAAAGACTTTAACATTCAACAACATTACTTCTTAGCAATCTGGGAGGTCTGTCTTAATAGGGCTGATTTTATTACCCCAATTTCTGAACAATTGCAGTCCACCCTGACACTTTACCTAACATCTCTTGGGCCCATCTCCTCCACTCCCTAAAGCACCCCTCACTGCACATCCTCCACTCCTCCAGCACTGGCCCCCTCCGTCCCTCTCCAATTTCCTACAAGCAGAAAATGTTGTGTACTGTTTTGCAGAAACTGAGCTCTCTCCTTTTCCCTCCTCTCCACCTCAAAATTTCTCTTCTCTGTTCTTCTTTTCCTGACTATCCATAAGAAATAAATATCCCTCTTTCTTCAACATCCTACATCCCAATGTGCACTTCTGATCCCAGGCCACCTCTCTCCATTGCTTTGTTCCATCAGTCCTACCTTCATCACTCAAAAATCATTCCCTCTCCACTAGCTCCCTCTCTTCTCTCTACATATGCTCATGTCCCCACCCTGCTACTCCCTTGAGCTACTGTCCTATGGCAACTTAAAGGAATAAAAAGAAATCCCTGCTGGGCACAATGGCTCACTTCTGTAATCCCAGCACTTTGGGAGGCCGAGGCGGGGTGGATCACCTGAAGTCAGGAGTTTAAGACCAGCCTGGTCAACATGGTGAAACCCCACCTCTACTAAAAATACCAAAAAATACCCAGGCACCATGGCGCATGCCTATAATCCCAGTTACTCGGGAGGCTGAGGCAAAAGGATAGCTTGAATCCAGGAGGCAGAGGTTGCAGTGAGCCCAGATCACACCACTGCACTCCAGCCTGGGAGTGCACTTCAGTCTCACAGAGCGAGACTCCGCCTCAAAAAAAAAAAAAAAGAAATCTGTATGGCCAAATGGAAGAGGGTGAGGAGATAAGTGGCACACTGAAAGGTAGGCAGGAGTGATGGAAGCCATGTTAAGGATTTTTATTTTTATATTATGAGGAAGAGAAAGTCAGTGTAGGGTTTTACATAGAGGAATTTTGTTCACTAGCTATATCCCAAGTGCCTGGGCACAGTGCTAGAACATATTATATGTTATGTATTCCATAACTGTTTATGTAATCAATTAACTGGAATGCTGTAGATTGGGTGACACGATCAGATTTTTGTTTGTAAAAGATTACCCTGGCTCCAATATGAAGAATGGACTGCAGGGAGAGGAGTGAGTAGGAAAAACATTTAGAAAGCTGTTGCAGATATCCTTGCAAAAGATGAGGATGGGCAAAAATCCATATGGATATATAGACTTGGTGATGGAAAGTGAAGGGAATTCCTCTCTGAAAGAGTGGAAGATGAGGACATCTGCTGAAAGTGAGGGAGAAGGAGTTACTATGGAGAGCAAGCTGACCATTGCAAAGGTTGCCAGGCAGTGCTGAGAGACTAGAGTCTCAGTGGCACTGAGCAGAATGATTCCACAATTTGTCACACCTTGATGCTGACCATGGGCAGTTGGGTTCATCCAGAGTTCAAATTTTGCCCATCAGGTACACTAGAAGGATAATGGAACAAAGAAGTGAGTGAGCCAGGTGCGGTGGCTCACGACTGTAATCTCAGCACTTTGGGAGGCTGAGGCAGGAGGATCGCTTGAGTCCAGGAGTTCGATACCGGCCAGGGAAACATAGTGAGACCTTGTCTCTATTTAAAAAAATAAGTGAGTAGTTGAAGTGATGGGCTCCAAACCCATGTTAGGTAGGGAGAGAAGTGTGGACAGGAGAAGCTGATGGGAAGAGAGAAAAAGGGGAATCAGTTGATTGGAGGCCTGGACTGATGGGAAGGGAGAAAAAGGGGAGTCAGCAGATTGGAGGCCTTGATGAGATCAAAAAAGTGTGGGGAAAACCTGCAGGAGTGGTGGGCAGCTGTGATCAGAGTGGAAGTCTGAAACCATCCTTTCGCCGGAAGAGCAATTTGGGAGGTAGAGGTCTAACATGCTGCTAAGAGCAGCCCTGGCATGGAACTGATGGTCACAGAGGGTAAGGTTAAGGAAATGAGGGCAAGGGGTGTCTGCACATAATCTTGCTGTCTTATGCCTGGGGAGATCACCCAGATGACCCCCAAGCTAGACAGAGCCTAAACCTGATCATAGCCCAAAAACACCCCAGTCCCCTTAGGCGTGGCACCTTGCCTAGACCCTCAGCCTGTTTTGATACAGCCTTGCCTCTTTTATGTGTCCCTTTCCCCATCTCCACTTACTGGCTGGGGTCCTGCTTTCAAAATGAATGGACACCCCATCCTAGTTCCCTACACCACAACTCCCAGCTCCACCTCACTGTGAGTGCTGAGCGCCTCACTGCCTTGCCCCACCACCAGGTTGCACTCCATGTCAGCCAGTAAGTCTTACCCTTTGGGGAGATCTCAGCTATAACGAAAATTAATTAAAAATGAGGTCCCTGTCTTTAGAAAGATGTGCAAACCGCCAAGTTCACATCCAAATTTGGGGGCGTTCCCAGATCCTTGTCACTGATATCAACCGGAAGAAACCTTGGACAGTGTGATTTGGACTGCTGGCTGCCATCCTCCTCTCCCCTACAGGATGAGCCTTGGAGCTGGGTGGGTCCCCCTAAATCTAGTATGCAGCTTGGTCCTTCTCTCTGTTGGCCAAGGCTGAACAGCTCATGTCAGCCACCACTCTGGTTCACTGCCCCTTTCCTGAACACCTCACAGGCCCCTGGGTGATAGACTCCTGCCACTACTATCTCCTTGCTCCAATCCATCCCTCCCTTCTCTCCTCTCCCCAGAGCGGATACCTGCTGAGCCGCATGTGAAGAAGGGCTTCAGTCTGTTCTCCATGTTGCTCAGCTTCTGCTCCAAGGCCCTCCTCTGTTGCTCCTCACTTTGCAAGGTCTCCTTCGTCTTCTGTCTGTC